>NC_000001.11:125013223-125026048 GCF_000001405.40 Homo sapiens
GTATCATCATTCTCAGTAAACTATCGCAAGAACAAAAAAGCAAACACCGCATATTCTCACTCATAGGTGGGAATTGAACAGTGAGAACACATGGACACAGGAAGGGGAACATCACACTCTGGGAAATGTTGTGGGGTGGGGGGAGGGGGAAGGGAGCACATTGGGAGATATAACTAATGCTAGATGACGAGTTAGTGGGTGCAGCGCACCAGCATGGCACATATATACATATGTAACTAACGTGCACATTGGCAACATGTACCCTAAAACTTAAAGTATAATAATTTAAAAAAAAAAATGAAAAAAAAAACTAGACAGAAGCATTCTCAGAAACATCTTTGCCATGTGTGCATTCAACTCACAGAGTTGAAACTTTCTTTTCATAGAGCAGTTTTGAAACACTCTTTTTGTAGAATCTGCAAGGGTTCATTTGGAGTGCTTTCAGGCATATGGTGGAAAATGAAATATCTTCAAATAAAGACTAGACAGAAGCATTCTCAGCGATTTCTTTGGGATGTATAGATTCAATTCACAGAGTTGAACCTTCCTTTTGATAGAGCAGTTTTGAAACAGTCTTTTTGTAGGATCTCCAAGTGGATATTTGGAGCGATTTGAGGCCTATGATAGAAAAGGAAATATATTCACATAAAAAGTTGACAGAAGCATTCTCAGAAACTTCTTTGTGATGTGTGCATTCAACTCACAGAATTGAAACTTTCTTTTTATAGAGCAGTTTTGAAACACCCCTTTTGTACTATCTGCTTGTGGATATTTGGAGCTCTTTGAGGCCTTCTTTGGAAACCGGATATCTTCAAATAAAAACTAGACAGAAGCATTCACAGAAACTGCTTTCTGATGAGTGCCTTCAACTCACAGAGTTCAACCTTTCTTTTGATAGAGCAGTTTTCAAACACTCTTTTTGTAGAATTGGCAAGTGTTCATTTGGAGCGCTTTGAAGCCTATGGTGGAAAGGGAAATAGCTTCACATAAAAACTAGACAGAAGCATTCTCAGAAACTTCTTTGTAATGTGTGCATTCAACTCACAGAGTGGATCCTTTCTTTTGACAGAGCATATTTGAAACAGTATTTTTATAGAATCTGCAAGTGGATATTTCGATTAACTTGAGGCCTGTGGAGGAAAAGGGAATATCTTCACATAAAAAGTAGAGAGAAGCATTCTCAGAAACTTCTTTGTGATGTGTGCATTCAACTCACAAACCTGAACTTTTCTTTTGATAGAGCAGTTTTGAAACACTCTTTTGTAGAAGCTGCAACTGTTCATTTAGTGCGCTTTAAGGCTAAGGTGGAAAAGGAAATATCTTCACATAAAATTTAGACAGAAGCATTCTGAAAAACTTCTTTGTGATCAGTGCCTACAACTCACAGAGTTGAACCTTCCTTCTGGCAGAGCAGTTTTGAAACAGTCTATTTGTAGGATCTGCAAGTGGATATTTGGAGAGATTTGAGGCCTAGGGTGAAAAAGGGAATATCTTCACATAACAACTTGACAGAAGGATTCTCAGAAACTTCTTAGTGATGTGTGCATTCACCTCACAGAGTTGAACATTTCTTTTGATAGAGCAGTTCTGAAACACTCCTTTTGGAGAATCTGCTAGTGGATATTTGGGCATTTTTGAGGCCTTCGTTGGAAACGGGAATATCTTCACATAAAAGCTAGTCAGAAGGATTCTCAGAAACTGCTTTGTGATTTGTGCTTTCAACTTACAGAGTTGAACCTTTCTTTTGATAGAGCAGTTTTGAAACACTCTTTTTGTAGAATCTGCAAGTGTTCGTTTGGAGGGCTTTGAGGCCTATTGTGGAGAAGGAAATATCTTCACATAAAAACTAGACAGAAGTGTTCTCAGAAACTTCTTTTTGATGTGTGCATTTAACTCACAGAGTTGAAATTTCCTTTTGATATAGCAGTTTTCACACAGTCTTTTGTAGAATTTGCAAGTGAATATTTGGAGCGATTTGAGGTCTATGGTGGAAAAGGAAATATTTTCACATAAAAACTAGACAGAAGAGGGGAGGAGCCAAGATGGCCGAATAGGAACAGCTCCGGTCTACAGCTCCCAGTGTGAGCGACGCAGAAGACAGGTGATTTCTGCATTTCCAACTGAGGTACCGAGTTCATCTCACCAGGGAGTGCCAGACAGTGGGCGCAGGTCAGTGGGTGCGTGCACCATACGCGAGCTGAAGCATGGAGAGGCATTGCCTCACTTGGGAAGTGCAAGGAGTCAGGGAGTTCACTTCCCAAGTCAAAGAAAGGGGTGATGGACAGCATCTGGAAAATCGGGTCACTCCCACCAGAATACTGCGCTTTTCTGACGGGCTTAAAAAACGGCGCACCACGAGAGTATATCCCGTACCTGGCTCAGAGGGTCCTATGCCCACAGAGTATCGCTGATTGCTAGCAGGGCAGTCTGAGATCAAACTGCAAGGCGGCAGTGAGGCTGGGGGAGGGACACTCGCCATTGTCCAGGCTTGATTAGGTAAACAAAGCAGATAGGAAGCTGGAACTGGGTGGAGCCCACCACAGCTCAAGGAGGCCTGCCTGCCTCTGTAGGCTCCACCTCTGGGGACAGGGCACAGACAAACAAAAAGACAGCAGTAACCTCTGCAGACTTAAATGTCCCTGTCTGACAGCTTTGAAGAGAGCAGTGGTTCTCTCAGCACACAATTGGAGATCTGAGAACTGGCAGACTGCCTCCTCAAGTAGGTCCCTGACCCCTGACCCCCGAGCAGCCTAACTGTGAGGCGCCCCCCAGCAGGAGCACACTGACACTTCACAGGGCAGGGTATTCCAACAGACCTGCAGCTGAGGGTTCTGTCTGTTAGAAGGAAAACTAACAAACAGAAAGGACATCCACACCAAAAACCCATCTGTACATCACCATCACCAAAGACCAAAAGTAGATAAAACCACAAAGATGGGGCAAAAACAGAACAGAAAAACTGGAAACTCTAAAAAGCAGAGCGCCTCTCCTCCTCCAAAGGAACGCAGTTCCTCACCAGCAATGGAACAAAGCTGGATGGAGAATGACTTTGACGAGCTGAGAGAAGAAGGCTTCAGACACTCAAATTACTCTGAGCTACAGGAGGAAATTAAAATCAAAGGCAAAGAAGTTGAAAACTTTGAAAAAAATTTAGAAGAATGTATAACTAGAGTAACAAATACAGAGAAGTGCTTAAAGGAGCTGATGGAGCTGAAAACCAAGGCTCGAGAACTACATGAAGAATGCAGAAGCCTCAAGAGCCGATGCGATCAACTGGAAGAAAGGGTATCAGCAATGGAAGATGAAATGAATGAAATGAAGCGAGAAGTAAAGTTTAGAGAAAAAAGAATAAAAAGAAATGGCAAAGCCTCCAAGAAATACGGGACTATGTGAAAAGACCAAATCTACGTCTGATTGGTGTAGCTGAAAGTGATGGGGAGAATGGAACCAAGTTGGAAAACACTCTGCAGGATATTATCCAGGAGAACTTCCCCAATCTAGCAAGGCAGGCCAATGTTCAGATTCAGGAAATACAGAGAATGCCACAAAGATACTCCTCGCGAAGAGCAACTCCAAGACACATAATTGTCAGATTCACAAAAGTTGAAATGTAGGAAAAAATGTTAAGGGCAGCCAGAGAGAAAGGTCGGGTTACCCTCAAAGGGAAGTCCATCAGACTAACAGAGGATCTCTTGGCAGAAACCCTACAAGCCAGAAGAGAGTGGGGGCCAATATTCAACATTCTTAAAGAAAATAATTTTCAACCCAGAATTTCATATCCTGCCAAACTAAGTTTCATAAGTGAAGGAGAAATAAAATACTTTACAGACAAGCAAATGCTGAGAGATTTTGTCACCACCAGGCCTGCCCTAAAAGAGCTCCTGAAGGAAGCACTAAACATGGAAAGGAACAACCGGTACCAGCTGCTGCAAAATCATGCCAAAATGTAAAGACCATCGAGACTAGGAAGAAACTGCATCAACTAACAAGCAAAATAACCAGCTAACATCATAATGACAGGATCAAATTCACACATAACAATAAAACCTTTAAATGTAAATGGACTAAATGCTCCAACTAAAAGACACAGACTGGCAAATTGGATAAAGAGTCAAGACCCATCAGTGTGCTGTATTCAGGAAACCCATCTCACATGCAGAAGGGTTGCAATCTTAGTCTCTGATAAAACAGATTTTAAACCAACAAAGATCAAAAGAGACAAAGAAGGCCATTGCAAAATTGTAAAGGGATCAATTCAACAAGAAGAGCTAACTATCCTAAATATATATGCACCCAATACAGGAGCACCAAGATTCATAAAGCAAGTCCTGAGTGACCTACAAAGAGACTTAGACTCCCACATATTAATAATGGGAGACTTTAACACCCCACTGTCAACATTAGACAGATCAACGAGACAGAAAGTCAACAAGGAAACCCAGGAATTGAATTCAGCTCTGCACCAAGCGGACCTAATAGACATCTACAGAACTCTCCAACCCAAATCAACAGAATATACATTTTTTTCAGCACCACACCTATTCCAAAATTGACCACATACTTGAAAGTAAAGCTCTCCTCAGCAAATGTAAAAGAACAGAAATGATAACAAACTATCTCTCAGACCACAGTGCAATCAAACTAGAACTCAGGATTAAGAAACACACTCAAAACTGCTCAACTACATGGAAACTGAACAACCTGCTCCTGAATGACTACTGGGTACATAACAAAATGAAGGCAGAAATAAAGACGTTCTTTGAAACCAACGAGAACAAAGACCCAACATACCAGAATCTCTGGGACACATTCAAAGCAGTGTGTAGAGGGAAATTTATAGCACTAAATGTCCACAAGAGAAAGCAGGAAAGATCCAAAATTGACACCCTAACATCACAATTAAAAGAACTAGAAAAGCAAGAGCAAACACATTCTAAAGCTAGCAGAAGGCAAGAAATAACTAAAATCAGAGCAGAATTGAAAGAAATAGAGACACAAAAAACCCTTCAAAAAATTAATGAATCCAGGAGCTGGTTTTTTGAAAGGATCAACAAAATTGATAGACTGCTAGCAAGACTAATAAAGAAAAAAAGAGAGAAGAATCAAATAGACACAATAAAAAATGATTAGGGGGATATCACCACCGATCCCACAGAAGTGCAAACTACGATCAGAGAATACTACAAACACCTCTAACAAATAAACTAGAAAATCTAGAAGAAATGGATAAATTCCTCGACACATACACTCTCCCAAGACTAAACCAGGAAGAAATTGAATCTCTGAATAGACCAATAACAGGAGCTGAAATTGTGGCAATTATCAATAGCTTACCAACCAAAAAGAGTCCAGGACCAGATGGATTCACAGCTGAATTCTACCAGAGGTACAAGAAGGAACTGGTACCATTCCTTCTGAAACTATTCCAATCAATAGAAAAAGAGGGAATCCTCCCTAACTCATTTTATGAGGTCAGCATCATTCTGATACCAAAGCCGGGCAGAGACACAACAAAAAAAGAGAATTTTAGACCAATATCTCTGATGAACATTGATGCAAAAATCCTCAATAAAATACTGGCAAAACGAATCCAGCAGTACATCAAAAAGCTTATCCACCATGATCAAGTGGGCTTCATCCCTGGGATGCAAGGCTGGTTCAATATATGCAAATCAATAAATGTAATCCAGCATATGAACAGAGCTAAAGACAAAAACCACATGATTACCTCAATAGATTCAGAAAAAGCCTTTGATAAAATTCAGCAACCCTTCATGGTAAAAACTCTCAATAAATTAGGTATTGATGGGACGTATTTCAAAATAATAAGAGCTATCTATGACACACCCACAGCCAATATCATACTGAATGGGCAAAAACTGGAAGCATTCCCTTTGAAAACTGGCACAAGACAGGGATGCCCTCTCTCACCACTCCTATTCAACATAGTGTTGGAAGTTCTGGCCAGGGCAATTAGGCAGGAGAAGGAAATAAAGGGTATTCAATTAGGAAAAGAGGAAGTCAAATTGTCCCTGTTTGCAGACGACATGATTGTATATCTAGAAAACCCCATTGTCTCAGCCCAAAATCTCCTTAAGCTGATAAGCAACTTCAGCAAAGTCTCAGGATACAAAATCAATGTACAAAAAACACAAGCATTCTTATACACCAACGACAGACAAACAGAGAGCCAAATCATGAACGAACTCCAATTCACAATTGCTTCAAAGAGAATAAAATACCTAGGAATCCAACTTACAAGGGATGTGAAGGACCTCTTCAAGGAGAACTACAAACCACTGCTCAAGGAAATAAAAGAGGATACACACAAAAGGAAGAACATTCCATGCTCATGGGTAGGAAGAATCAATATCGTGAAAATGGCCATATTGCCCAAGGTAATTTACAGATTCAATGCCATCCCCATCAAGCTACCAATGACTTTCTTCACGGAATTGGAAAAAACTACTTTAAAGTTCATATGGAACCAAAAAAGAGCCCACATCACCAAGTAAATCCTAAGTCAAAAGAACAAAGCTGGAGGCATCACACTACCTGACTTCAAACTATACTACAAGACTACAGTATCCAGAACAGCATGGTACTGGTACCAAAACAGAGATATAGATCAATGGAACAGAACAGAGCCCTCAGAAATAAAGCTGCATATCTACAACTATCTGATCTTTGACAAACCTGAGAAAAACAAGCAATGGGGAAAGGATTCCCTATTTAATAAATGCTGCTGGGAAAACTGGCTAGCCATATGTAGAAAGCTGAAACTGGATTCCTTCCTTACACCTTACACAAAAATCAATTCAAGATGGATTAAAGACTTAAACGTTAGACCTAAAACCATAAAAACCCTAGAAGAAAACCTAGGCATTACCATTCAGGACATAGGCATGGGCAAGGACTTCAGGTCTAAAACACCAAAAACAATGGCAACAAAAGACAAAATTGACAAATGGGATCTAATTAAAATAAAGAGCTTCTGCACAGCAAAAAAACTACCATCAGAGTGAACAGGCAACCTACAAAATGGGAGAAAATTTTTGCAACCTACTCATCTGACAAAGGGCTAATATCCAGAATCTACAATGAACTCAAACAAATTTACAAGAAAAAAACAAACCACCCCATCAAAAAATGGGCAAAGGACATGAACAGACACTTCTCAAAAGAAGACATTTATGCAGCCGGAAAACACATGAAAAAATGCTCATCATCACTGGCCATCAGAGAAATGCAAATCAAAACCACAATGAGATACCATCTCACACCAGTTAGAATGGCAATCATTAAAAAGTCAGGAAACAACAGGTGCTGGAGAGGATGTGGAGAATTAGGAACACTTTTACACTGTTGGTGGGACGGTAAACTAGTTCAACCATTGTGGAAGTCAGTGTGGCGATTCCTCAGGGATCAAGAACTGGAAATACCATTTGACCCAGCCATCCCATTACTGAGTAAATACCCAAAGGACTATAAATCATGCTGCTATAAAGACACATGCACACATATGTTTATTGTGGCATTACTCACGATAGCAAAGACTTGGAACCAACCCAAATGTCCAACAATGATAGACTGGATTAAGAAAATGTGGCACATATACACCATGGAATACTATGCAGCCGTAAAAAATGATGAGTTCATTTCCTTTGTAGGGATATGGATGAAATTGGAAATCATCATTCTCAGTAAAGTATTGCAAGAACAAAAAACCAAACACTACATATTCTCACTCATAGGTGGGAGTTGAACAATGAGAACACATGGACACAGGAAGGGGAACATCACACTCTGGGGACTGTTGTGGGGTGGGGGGAGGCGGGAGGGATAGCATTGGGAAACATACCTAATGCTAGATGACGAGTTAGTGGGTGCAGCGCACCAGCATGGCACATGTATGCATATGTAACTAGCCTCCAAAATGTGCACATGTACCCTAAAATTTAAAGTATAATAATAATTTAAAAAAGAAAAAAAAAACTAGACAGAAGCATTCTCAGGAACAATTTTGTGATGTGTGCATTCAAATCACAGAGTTGAACCTTCCTTTTGATATAGCTGTTTGAAACAGTCTCTTTGTAGGATCTGCAAGTGGATATTTGGAGCGATTTGCGGCCTATGGTGGTAAAGGAAATTTCTTCACAGAAAAACATGACTGATGCATTCTCAGTAACTTCTTTGTGATGGGTGCATTCAACTCACAACGTTGAACATTTCTTTTGGTAGAGCACTTTTGAAACACTCCTTTTGTAGCATCTGCTAGTGGATATTTGGATGTCTTTGGGGCCTTCGTTGGAAAAGGGAATATCTTCACAAAAAACTAGACGGAAGCATTCTCAGAAACTTCCTTGTGATGTGTACATTCAACTCACAGAGTTGAACCTTCCTTTTGAGAATAGCAGTCTTGAAACAGTCCTTTTGTGGGATCTGCTTGTGGATATTTGGAGCTCTTTGAGTCCTTCATTGGAAACGGGATATCTTCAAATGCAAACTAGAGAGAAGCATTCTTAGAAACTGCCTTTTGATGTGTGCATTCAACTCAAAGAGTAGAACGTTTCTTTTGATAGAGCAGTTTTGAAACACCCTTTTTGTAGAATCTGCAAGTGTTTATTTGGAGCTCTTGGAGGCTTATGGTGGAAAAGGAAATATCTTTACATAAAAACTAGACAGAAGCATTCTCAGAAAGTTCTTTGTGATGTGACCATTCACCTCGCAGGGTTAAACCTTTCATTTGTTAGAGCAGTTTTGAAACACTCCTTTTGAATAATCTGCTAGTGGATATTTGGAGCTCTTTGAGGTCTTCGTTGAAAACGGGGTGTCTTCACATAAAAACTAGACAGAAGCATTCTCAGAAACTGCTTTGTGAAGGGTGCATTCAACACACAGAGTTGAAACTTTCTCTTGATAGAGCAGTTTTGAAACACTCTTTTTGTAGAATCTGCAAGTGTTCATTTGGAGCTCTTTGAGGCCTATGGTGGAAAAGGAAATATCTTTACATAAAAACTAGAAAGAAGCATTCTCAGAAACTTCTTTGTGATGTGTGCATTCACCTCACAGAGTTGAACATTTCTTTTGACAGAGCAGTTTTGAAACACTCATTTTGTGGAATGTGTTTGTAAATATTTGGAGCTCTTTGAGGCCTTAGTTGGAAATGGGATATCTTCACGTAAAAACTTGACAGAAGAATTCTCAGAAACTTCTTTGTGATGTGTGCATTCAACTCACAGATTTGAACCTTTCTTTTAATGGAGCAGTTTTGAAAGAGTCTTTTCGTTGAATCTGCAGTGTTCATTTGGAGCGCTTTGAGGCCTATGGCAGAAAAGGAAATATCTTCACATAAAAACTAGACGGAAACATTGTCAGAAACTTTTTTGTGATGTGCTCATTCAGCTCACAGAATTGAACGTTCCTTTTGATCGAGCAGTTTTGAAACAGTCTTTTTGCAGGATCTGCAAGTGAACATTTGGAGCGATTGGAGGCCTATGGTGGAAAAGGGAATATCTTCACATAAGAGCTAGTCCGAAGAGTTCTCAGAAACGGCTTTGTAACGTTTGCATTCAACTGACAGTGTTGAGCCTTTCTTTTGATAGAGCAGATTTGAGACACTCCTATTGTGGAATCTGCTTGTAAATATTTGGAGCTTTTGAGGACTTCGTTGGAAACGGGATATCTTCACATAAAAACTAGACAGAAACATTCTCAGAAACTGCTTTGTGATGTGTGCATTCAACTCGCAGACTTGAACATTTCTTTTCATAGAGCAGCACTGAAAGACTACTTTTGTAGAATCTGCTTGTGGATATTTGGAGCTGTTTGAGGTTTTTGTTGGAAAGGGGATATCTTCACATAAAAACTAGACAGAAGCTTTCTCAGAAACTGTTTTGTGATCTGTGCACTCAACTCACAGAATTGAAACTTTCTTTTCTTAGAGCAGTTTTGAAGCACTCTTTTTGTAGAATCTTCAAGTGTTCACTTGGAGCGCTTAGAGGTGTATCATGGAAAAGGAAATAACTTCACATAAAAACTAGACAGAAGCATTCTAAGAATCTTCTTTGTGATGTGTGCATTCAACCCACAGAGTTGAACCTTCCTATTGATAGAGCAGTTTTGAAACCGTCTTTTTGTAGGATCTGCAAGTGGATATTTGGAGCGATTTCCAGACTATGGTGAAAAAGGAAATATCTTCACACAAAAAGTTGACAGAAGCATTCTCAGAAACTGCTTTGTGATGTGTGCATTCAACTCACAGACTGGAACACTTCTTTTGATAGAGCAGTACTGAAACACTACTTTGGTAGAATCTGCTCGTGGATATTTGGAGCTGTTTGAGGTTTTCGTTGGAAACAGGATATCTTCACATAAAAATTAGAAGCATTCTCAGAAACTGCTTTGTGATGTGTGCACTCAACTCACAGATTTGAATGTTTGTTTTGATAGAGCAGTGTTGAAACACTCTTTTTGTAGAATCTTCAAGTGTTCATTTGGAGAGCTTTGAGGCGTATTTTGGAAAAGGAAATAACTTCACATAAAACTAGACAGAAGCATTCTCAGAAACGTCTTTGTGATGTGTGCATTCAACTCACAGAGTTGAACCTTCCTTTTGATAGAGCAATTTTGAAACAGTCTCTTTGTGGGATCTAGAAGTGGAAATTTGGAGTGATTTGAGGCCTATGGTGGAAAAGGAAATATTTTCACATAAAAACTAGACAGAAGCATTCTCAGAAACTTCTTTGTGATGTAAGCATTCAACTCAAATTGTTGAACCTTCCTTTTGGGAGAGCAGTTTTGAAACAGTCTATTTGTAGGATCTGCAAGTGGATATTTGGAGAGATTTGAGGCCTATGGTGAAAAAGGAAATATCTTCACATAACAACTTGACAGAAGGATTCTCAGAAACTTCTTTGTGACGTGTGCCTACAACTCACAGTGCTGAACCTTCATTTTGAAATAGCAGTTTTGAAATAGTCCTCTTGTAGAATATCCAATTGGATATTTAGAATGATTTGAGGCCTATGGTGGAAAAGGTAATATCTTCACATAAAAAATAGTCAGAAGAGTTCTCAGAAACTGCTTTGTGATGTATGCATTCAACTCACAGAGTTGAACATTCTTTTGACAGAGCAGTTTTGAAACACTCCTATTGTGGAATCTGCTTTAAATATTAGTAGGTCTTTGAGGCCTTCGTTGGAAACCGGACATCTTCACATAAATCTTGACAGAAGCATTCTCAGAAACTGCTTTTTGGTGTGTGCATTCAACTCAAAGAGTTGAATATTTCCTTTTATGGAGCAGTTTTGAAACACTCTTTTTCTAGAATCTGGAAGTGTTCATTTGGAGCGCTTTGAGGCCTACGGTGGAAAAGGCAATATCTTCACATAAAAACTAGGCAGAAGCATTCTCAGAAACTTCTTTGTGATGTGTGCATTCAACGCAGAGAGTTGAACATTCCCTTTGATAGAGCAGATTGAAACACTCCTTTTGTAGTATCTGGTAGTGGATATATGGAGGTTTTTGAGGCCGTCGTTGGAAACGGGAATATCTTCAGATAAAAACTAGTCAGAAGCATTCTCAGAAAGTGCTTTGTGAGTAGTGCATTCAACTCACAGAGTTGAACTTTTCTTTTGATACAGCAGTTTCGAAACACTCTTTTTGTAGAATATGCAAGTGTTCATTTGGAGCGCTTTGAGGCCTATTGTGGAAAAGGAAATATCTTCACATAAAAACTAGACAGAAGCATTCTCAGAAACTTCTTTGTGATGTGGACATTCAACTCAGAGAGATGAACATTTCCTTTTACAGAGCAGTACTGAATCACTACTTTTGTAGAATCTGCTTGTGGATATTTGGAGCTGTTTGGGGATTTTGTTAGAAACGGGATATCTTCAAATAAAAACTAGACAGAAGCATTCTCAGAAACTGCTTTGTGAAGTGTGCACTCAATTCACAGATTTGAACCTTTCCTTTGAAAGAGGAGTTTTGAAACACTCTTTTTGTAGTATCTTCAAGTGTTCATTCATAGCGCTTTGAGGCATATGGTAGAAAAGGAAATAACTTCACATAAAAACTTGACAGAATCATTCTCAGAAACTTCTTTATGATGTGTGTATTCAACTCACAGAGTTGAACCTTCCTTTGATAGAGCAGTTTTGAAACAGTGTTTTTGTAGGACCTAGAAGTGGAAATTTGGAGTGATTTGAGGCCTATGGTGGAAAAGGAAATATCTTCACATAAAGAGTAGACAGAAGCATTCTCAGAAAGTCCTTTGTGACTTGTCTCTTCAACTCACAGAGTTGAATCTTTCTTTTGATAGAGCAGTTTTGAAACACTCCTTTTGCAGAATCTGCTTGTGGATATTTGGAGCTCTTTGAGGCCTTCGTTGGAAACGGGATATCTTCACATAAAAACTAGACAGAAGCATTCTTAGAAACTGCTTTGTGATGTGGGCATTCAACTCATAGTGTCGAACACTTCTTTTGAAAGATAAGTTTTGAAACACTCTTTTTCTAGAATCTGTAAGTGTTCATTTGGAGCACTTTGAGGCCTATATTGGAAAAAAAAATCTTCAAATAAAAACTGGACGTAAGCATTCTCAGAAACTTCTTTGTGATGTGTGCATTCAGCTCACAGCGTTGAACCTTCCTTTTGATAGAGCAGTTTTGAAACACTCCATTTATACGGTCTGCTGGTGGATATTTGGAGATTTTTGAGGCCTTCGTTTTAAACGGGAATATCTTCACATAAATGCCAGTCAGAAGCATTCTCAGAAACTGCTTTGTGTTGGGTTCATTCCACTCACAGTGTTGAACCTTT
>NC_000001.11:125026071-125029104 GCF_000001405.40 Homo sapiens
AACACTCC
The DNA here is from genome assembly GCF_000001405.40 of Homo sapiens. NCBI lineage: Eukaryota > Metazoa > Chordata > Mammalia > Primates > Hominidae > Homo > Homo sapiens. The sequence goes on from NC_000001.11 coordinate 125,026,080, forward strand.
TTTTGTAGAATCTGCTTGTGGATATTTGGAGCTCTTTGAGGCCTTCATTGGAAACGGGATATCTTCAAATAAAAACTAGAAAGAAGCACTCACAGAAAGTGCTTTGTGATGTGTGCATTCACCTCACAGAGGTGAACCTTTCTTTTGAGAGAGCACTTTTGAAACAGTCTTTTTGTAGAATCTGCAAGTGGATATTTCTAGCGATTTGAGGCCTAAGGTGGAAAAGAAATATCTTCAAATAAAAACTAGAGAGAAGCATTCTCAGAAACTTCTTTGTGATGTGTGCATTCAACTCATGTAGTTGAACCTTTCTTTTGATAGAGCAGTTTTGAAACACTCCTTTTGAATAATCTGCTTGTGAATATTTGGAGCTCTTTGAGACCTTCATTGGAAACGGGATATCTTCAAGTAAAAACCAGACAGAAGCAGTCTCAGAAACTGCTTTTTGATGTGTGCATTCAACTCACAGAGTTGAACCTTTGTTTTGATAGAGCAGTTTTGAAACACTCTTTTTTTAGAAGCTGCAAGTGTTCATTTGGAGAGCTTTGTGTCCTATGGTGGGAAAGGAAATATCTTCACATAAAACCTAGACAGAAGCATTCTCAGGAACTTCTTTGTGATGTTTGCATTCAACCCACAGAATTGAACAAACCTTTCCATGGAGCAGTTTGAAACAGTCTTTTTGTAGAATCTGCCATTAGATATTTGGACCACTTAGAGGCCTTCGTTGAAAACGGAAATATCTTCACATAAAAACTAGACAGAAGCATTCTCAGGCACTTCTTTGTGATGTGTGTATTCAACTCACAGCGTTGAACTTTTCTTTTGATAGAGCAGTTTTGAAAAAACTCATTTTGTAGAATCTGCAAGTGGACATTTGGAGAGCTTTGAGGCCTGTTGTGGAAAAGGAAATACCTTCACATAAAAACTAGACAGAAGCATTCTCAGAAACTTCTTTGTGAAGTGTGCATTCAACTCACAGAGTTGAACCTTGTTTTTCATAGAGCAGTTTTGTAACATTCTTTTCGTAGAATTTGTAAGTGGAAATTTGGATAGCTTTGAGGCCTATGGTGTAAAAGAAAATGTCTTCAAATAAAGACTAGACAGAAGCATTTTCAGAAACGTCTTTGTGATGTGTGCATTCAACTCACAGAGTTGAGCATTCCTTTTGATACAACAGTTTTGAAACACTCTTTTTGTAGAAGGAGCAAGTGGATATTTTGGCTGCTTTGATACCTTCGTTGGAAAAGGGAATATCTTCACATAAAAACTAGACAGAAGCATTCTCAGAAACTACTTTGTGATGTGTGTATTCAACTAATACAGTTGAAGCTTTCTTTTGATAGAGCAATTTTGAAACACTCTTTTTGTAGTATCTGCAAGTGGACATTTGGAGAGCTTTGAGGCCTATGATGGAAAAAAAATATCTTCACGTTAAAACTAGACAGAAGCTTTCTCAGAAACTTCTTTGTGATATTTGCATGCAACTCACAGCGTTGAAACTTTCTTTTGATAGAGAAGTTTTGAAACACTCTATTTGTAGAATCTGCAAGTGGACATTTAGTGAGCTTTGAGGCCTATGCTGGAAAAGGAAATATCTTCACATAAAAAATAGACAGAAGAATTCTCAGAAACTTCCTTGTGATATTTGCATTCAACTCACAAAGTTGAACATACCTTTTCATAGTGCGGTCTTGAAACACTCTTACTGTAGTATCTGCAAGTCGATAATTTGACCACGTTGATGCCTTCGTCTGAAGCGGAAATATCTTAACATAAATACTAGACAGATGCATTCTCAGAAACCTCTTTGTGATGTTTGCATTCAACTCACAGGATTTAGCAAACCTTTTCATAGAGCAGTTTTAAAACACTCTTTTTGTAGAATCTACACGTGTATATTTGGACCACTTTGAGGCCTTCATTGGAAACGGGAATATCTTCACATAAAAACGTGACAGAAGCATTCTCAGAAACTTCTTTGTGATGTGTGCTTTCAACTCACAGCGTTGAAACTTTCTTTTGATAGAGCAGTTTTGAAATCCTCTTTTTGTAGAATCTGCAAGTGTACATTTGGAGAGTTTGAAGCCTATAGTGGAAAAGGAAATATCTTCACATAAAATATAGACAGAAGCATTTTCAAAAACATCTTTGTGATATTTGCATTCAACTCACAGAGTTGAACATTCCTTTTCATAGAGCAGTTTGGAAACACTCTTTTTGTAGAATCTGCAAGTGGATATTTGGTCCCCTTGAGGCCTTCGTTGGAAATCGGAATATCTTCAAATAAAAACTAGACAGGAGCATTCTCGGAAACTTCTTTGTGATGTGTGCATTGAACTCACAGAGTTGAACTTTTCTTTTGATAAAGTAGTTTGGAAACACTCTTTTTGTAGAATCTGCAAGTGGACTTTCAGAGAGCTTTGAGGCCTATTGTTGAAAAGGAAATATTTTGAAATAGAAACTAGACAGAAGCATTCTCAGAAACTTCTTTGTGATGTTTGCATTCAACTCAAAGAGTTGAAACTTCCTTTTCATGGAGCCGTTTTGAAACATTCTTTTCGTAGAATCTGCAAGGGAATATTTGGACCGCTTTGAGGCCTTCATTGGAAACGCGAATATCTTCACATAAAAACTAGACAGAAAGATTCTCAGAAACTTCTTTGTGATATTTGCATTCAATTCACAGAGTTGAACAGACCTTTACATAGAGCAGTTTTGAAACACTCTTTTTGTAGAATCTGCAAGTGGACATTTAGAGAGCATTGTGGCCTATGGTGGAAAAGGAAATATCTTCACATAAAAACAAGACAGAAGCATTCTGAGAAACTTCTTTGAGATGTTTGCATTCAACTCACAGAGTTGTACCTTCCTTTTCCTAGAGCAGTTTTGAAACACTCTTTTTGTAGAATCTGCAAGTGGATATTTGGACCACTTTGGGGCCTTCGTTGGAAACGGGAATACCTTCACATAAAAACTAGACAGAAGTATTCTCAGAAACTTCTTTGTGATGTGTGCCTTCATT
>NC_000001.11:125029169-125103213 GCF_000001405.40 Homo sapiens
TGAGGCCTGTTGTGGAAAAGGATGTATCTTCACATAAAGAAATAGACAGAAGCATTCTCAGAAACTTCTTTGTGAAGCGTGCATTCAACTCACAGAGTTGAACCTTGTTTTTCATAGAGCAGTTTTGAAACATTCTTTTCATAGAATCTGCAAGTGAATATATGGACCGCTTTGAGGACTTCAATTGAAATGGGGGTATCTTCACATAAAAACTAGACAGAAGCATTCTCAGAAACTTTTTCTGGTGTGCGCATTCTACTCACGGATTTGAACTTAACTTTTCATAGAGCAGTTTTGAAACACTCTTTTTGTAGAATTTGCAAGTGGACATTTTGATAGCTTTGAGGCCTATGGTGTTAAAGGAAATATCTTCACATAAAAACTAGACAGAAGTATTTTCAGAAACGTCTTTGTGATGTGTGCATTCTACTCACAGAGTTGAACTTCGTTTTGATAGAGCAGTTTTGAAACACTCTTTTTGTAGTATGAGCAACTGGATATTTTGACTGCTTTGATGTCTTCATTGGAAAAGGGAATATCTTCACATAAAAACTAGACAGAATCACTCCCATGAACTACTTTGTGATGTGTGTATTCTACTCATAGAGTTGAACATTTCTTTTGATAGAGCAGTTTTGAAACACTCTTTTTGTAGAATCTGTAAGTGGACATTTGGAGAGTTTTGAGGCCTATGATGGAAAAAAAAATATCTTCACATAAAAACTAGACAGAAGCATTCTCAGAAACTTCTTTGTGATGTTTGCATTCAACTCACAGAACTGAACCTTCCTTTTCATTGAGCAGTTTTGAAACACTCTTTTCGTAGAATCTGCAATTGGATATTTCGACCGCTTTGAGGCCTTCATTGGAAACGGGAATAACCTCACATAAAAACTAGACAGAAGCATTCTCAGAAACGCCTTTGTGATCTGTGCATTCAACTCACAGAGTTGAACCTTCTTTTTCATAGAGCAGTTTTTAAACACTCTTTTTGTAGAATCTGCAAGTGGACATTTGGAGCGCTTTGAGGGCAGTGGTGCAAAAGAATATATCTTCACATAAAAACTAGATGGAAGCGTCCTCAGAAATTTCTTTGTGATGTTTGCATTCAAATGCCAGAGTTGAACATACCTTATCATAGAGCAGTTTTGAAACACTCTTTTTGTACCATCTACAAGTGGACATTTTGAGAGCTTTGAGGCCTATGGTAGAAAAGGAAATATCTTCACATGAAAAATAGACAGAAGCATTATCAGAAACTTTGTGATCTTTGCATTCAACTCACAGAGTTAAACCTTCCTTTTCATAGAGCTCTTTTGAAATACTCTTTTCGTAGAATCTGCAAGTGGATATTTGGACCACTTTGAGGCCTTCTTTGGAAACGGGAATATTTTCACATAAAAACTAGACAGAAGCATTCTCAGAAAAGTCCTTGTAATGTCTGCATTCAACTCACAGAGGTGAACCTTCCTTTTCATAGAGCACTTTTGAAACACTCTTTTTGTGGAATCTACAAGTGGACTTTTGCAGCGCTTTGAGGACTACGGTGGAAAAGGAAAGATCTTCACATAAAAACTAGACAGAAGCATTCTCACAGACTTCTTTGTGATGTTTGCATTCAACTAACAGAGTTGAGCATACCTTTTCGTGGAGAAGTTTTGAAACACTCTTTTTTGCAGAATCTGTAGGTGGATATTTGGACCGCTTTGAGGACTTCATTGGAAACAGGAATATCTTCACATAGAAACCAGACAGAAGCATTCTCAGAAATATCTTTGTGATGTGTGCATTCAACTCACAGAGTTGAACCTTTCCTTTGGTAGAGCAGTTTTGAAACACTTTTTTTGAAGTATTTGTAAGTGGACATTTGGAGCGCTTTGAGGGCAATGGTGGAAAAGTGAATATCTTCACATAAAGACTAGACAGAAGCATTCTCAGAAACTTCTTTGTGATGTTTGCATTCAACTCACAGAGTTGAACATAACTTTTCATAGAGCAGTTTTGAAACACTCTTTTTGTAGAATCTTCATGTGGACATTTAGAGCGCTTTGAGGGCTATGGTTGAAAAGGAAATATCTTCACATAAAAACTAGACAGAAGCATTCTCAGAAACTTCTTTGTGATGTTTGCATTAAAGTCAGAGGGTTGAACCTTCCTTACCATAGAGCAGTTTTGAAGCACTCTTATTTTAGAATCTGCAAGTGGATATTTGGACCACTTTGAGGCTTTCGTTTGAAACGGGATTATCTTCACATTAAAAACTAGACAGAAGCATTCTCGGAAACTTCTTTGAGATGTGTGAATTCAACTCACAGAGTTGAAACTTTCTTTTGATAGAGTAGTTTCGAAACACTCTTTTTTGTAGAATCTGAAAGTGGACATTGGAGATCTTTGAGGTCCATAGTGAAAAGCACATATCTTCACATAAAACAAGACAGAAGCATTTTCAGAAAGATCTTTGTGATGTTTGCATTCAACTCACAGAGTTGAACATTCCTTTTCATAGAGCAGTATTAAAACACTCTTTTTGTAGTATTTGCAAGTGGATATTTGGACCGCATTGATGTCTTCTTTGGAAACGGGGATATCTTCACATAAAAACTAGAAAGAAGCATTCTCAGAAACATCTTTGTGATGTTTACTTTCAACTCACAGAGCTGAAGCTTCCTTTTGATAAAGAAGTTTTGAAACACTCTTTTTGTAGAATCTGCAAGTGGACATTTCGAAAGCTTTGCGGCCTATGTTGGAAAAGGAAATATCTTCACATACATACTAGACAGAAGCATTCTGAGAAACTTATTTGCGATATTTGCATTCAACTCACAGAATTGAACTTTCCTTGTCCTAGAGCAGTTTTGAAACACTCTTTTCGTGGAATCTGAAAGAGGATATTTAGGCCGAATTGAGGCCTTCGTTGGAAAGGGAAATATCTTCTCACAAAAACTAGAAAGAAGCATTCTCAGAAACTTCTTTGCGATGTTCGCATTCAACTCACAGAGTTGAAGCTTCCTTTTCTTTTTTTTTTATTATACTTTAAGTTCTAGGGTACATGTGCACATTGTGCAGGTTAGTTACATATGTATACATGTGCCATGCTGGTGCACTGCACCCACTAACTTGTCGTCTAGCATTAGGTATATCTCCCAATGCTATCCCTCCCCCCTCACCCACCCCACAACAGTCCCCAGAGTGTGATATGCCCCTTCCTCTGCCCATGTGATCTCATTGTTCAATTCCCACCTATGAGTGAGAATATGCGGTGTTTGGTTTTTTGTTCTTGTGATAGTTGACTGAGAATGATGATTTCCAATTTCATCCATGTCCTTACAAAGGACATGAACTCATCATTTTTTATGGCTGCATAGTATTCCATGGTGTATATGTGCCACATTTTCTTAATCCAGGCCATCATTGTTGGACATTTGGGTTGGTTCCAATCTTTGCTATTGTGAATAATGCCACAATAAATCTGACTTCAAACTATACTACAAGGCTACAGTAACCAAAACAGCATGGTACTGGTACCAATACAGAGATATAGATCAATGGAACAGAACAGAGCCCTCAGAAATAACGCCACATATCTACAACTATCTGATCTTTGACAAACCTGAGAAAAACAAGCAATGGGGAAAGGATTCCCTATTTAATAAATGCTGCTGGGAAAACTGGCTAGCCATATGTAGAAAGCTGAAACTGGATCCCTTCCTTACACCTTATACAAAAATCAATTCAAGATCGATTAAATACTTAAACGTTAGACCTAAAACCATAAAAACCCTAGAAGAAAACTTAGGCGTTACCATTCAGGACATAGGCATGGGCAAGGACTTCATGTCGAAAACACCAAAAGCAAAGGCAACAAAAGCCAAAATTGACAAATAGGATCTAATTAAACTAAAGAGCTTCTGCACAGCAAAAGAAACTACCATCACAGTGAACAGGCAACCTACAAAATGGGAGAAAATTTTTGCAACCTACTCATCTGACAAAGGGCTAATATCCAGAATCTACAATGAACTCAAACAAATTTACAAGAAAAAAACGAACCTTCCTTTTCATAGAGCAGTTTTGAAATACTCTTTTTGTAGAATCTGCAATTGGATATTTGGACCACTTTGAGACCTTCTGTGGAAATGGGAATATCTTCACATAAAAACTGGGCAGAAGCATTCTCAGAAAGTTGTTTCTGATGTGTGCATTCAACTCACAGAGTTGAACCTTTCTCTTGATAGAGCAGTTTAAAAACACTCTTTTTGGAGAATCTGACAGTGGACATTTGGAGAGCTTGGAGGTCTAAGGTGGAAAAGGAACTATCTTCACATAAAAACTAGACAGAAGCATTCTCAGAAACTTCTCTATGATGTTTGTATTCAACTCACAGAGCTGAACCTTCCTTTTCATAGGGCAGTTTTGAAACACTTTTTTTGTAGATTCTGCAAGTAGATATTTGAACCGATTTGAGGCTTTCTTTGGAAAAGGTAATATCTTCACCTAAAAACTAGACAGAAGCATTCTCAGAAACGTCTTTGTGATGCATGAATTCAACTAACATAGTTGAACCTTTCTTTTGATAGAGCAGTTTTGAAACACTATTTTTGAAGAATCTGCAAGGGGATATATGGAGTGCTTTGAGGGCAATGGTGGAAAAGGAAATACATTCACGTAAAAGCTAGACAGAAACATTCTCAAAAACTTCTTTGTGATGTTTGCATTCAAGTCCCAGAGTTGAACATACCTTATCAAGGGCAGTTTTGAAACACTCTTTTGTAGAATCTGCAAGTGGATATTTGGACAGCTTTGAGGTCTTCGTTGGAAATGGGAATACCTTCACATAAAAACTAGACAGAAGCATTCTCAGAAACTTCTTTTGGATGTGTGCATTCAACTCACACAGTTGAACCTTCGTTCTGATAAAGCAGTTTTGAAACACTCTTTTTGTAGAATCCGCACGGGACATTTGAAGAGCTTTGAGAGCTATGATGGAAAAGGAAATATCTTCACATAAAAACTAGACAGAATCATTCTCAGAAACTTCTTTGTGATTTTTGCATTCAACTCAGAGTTGAACATTCCTTTTCATAGAGCAGTTTTGAAACACTATTTTTGTAGAATCTGCAAGTGGATATTTGGACCACTTTGAGGCCTTCTTTGGAAACCGGAATATCTTCATATAAAAACTGGACAGAAGCATTCTCAGAAAGTTCTTTGTGATGTGTGCATTCAACTCACAGATTTGAACTTTGTTTTGATAAGGCAGTTTTGAAACCCTCTTTTTATAGAATCTGTAAGTGTCTATTTGGAGAGCTTTGAGGCCTATGGTGGAAAAGGAAATATCTTCACATAAAAACTAGACAGAAGCATTCTCAGAAACTTCTTTGTGATGTGTGCATTCAACTCACAGAGTTAAACCTTCCTTTTGTTAGAGCAGTTTTGAAACACTGTTTTCGTAGAATCTGCAAGTAGATATTTGGACAGCTTTGAGGCCTTCGTTGGAAATGGGAATATCTTCACATAAAAACTAGACAGAAGCATTCTCAGAAACTTCTTTGGGATGTGTGCATTCAACTCACAGAGTTGAACCTTCCTTTTGATAGAGCAGTTTTGAAACACTCTTTTTGTATAATCTGCAAGGGACATTTGGAGAGTTTGAGAGCTATGGTGGAAAAGGAAATATCCTCACATAAAAACTAGACAGAAGCATTCTCAGAAACTTCTTTGCGATGTTCGCATTCAATTCACAGAGTTGAAGATTCCTTTTCATAGAGCAGTTTTGAAACACTCTTTTTGTGGAATCTGCATGTGGATATTTGGACCACTTTGAGGCATTGGTTGGAAACTGGAATATCTTCACATGAAAAGTGGAGAGAAGCATTCTCAGCAAGTTCTTTTTGATGAGTGCATTCAAGTCACAGAGTTGAACTTTTCTTTTGATAGGGCAGTTTTGAAATACTCTTTTTGTAGAATCTGCAAGTGGCCATTTGGAGAGCTTTGAGGCCTATGGTGGAAAAGGAAATATCTCCACATTAAAACTAGACAGAAGCATTCTCAGAAACTTCTTTGTGATGTGTGCATTCAACTCACAGAGTTGAACCTTCCTTTTGTTAGAGCAGTTTTGAAACACTCTTTTTGTAAAATCTGCAAGTGAACAGTTGGACCACTTTGTGGTCTGCGTTGGAAAAGGGAATATCTTAAAATAAAAACTACACAGAAGCATTCTCAGAAACGTCTTTCTGATGTGTGCATTCAATTCACAGTGTTGAACCTTCCTTTTGATAAAGCAGTTTTGAAATACTTTTTTTGTAGAATCTGCAAGTGTAAATTTGGAGTGCTTCGAGGCCTATTGTGGAAAAGGAAATATCTCCACATAAACACTAGAGAGAAGCATTCTCAGAAACTTCTTTGGCATATTTGCATTCAACTCAGGGAGTTGAACCTTTCTTTTCATACAGCAGTGTTGAAACACTCTTTTCGTAGAATCTGCCAGTGGATATTTGGACAGCTTTGAGGCCTTAGTTGGAAACGGGAATATCTTCAAATAAAAACTAGACAGAAGCATTCTCAGAAACTTCTTTGAAATGTATGCATTCAACTCACCGAGTTGAACCTTCCTTTTGATAGAGCAGTTTTGAAACACACTTTTTGTAGAATTTGCAAGTGGACATTTTGATAGCTTTGTCGCCTATGGTGGAAAAGGAAATATCTTCACATAAAAGCTAGACAGAAGCATTTTCAGAAAGGTATTTATGATGTGTGCATTCAAGTCACAGAGTTGAACATTCCTTTTGATAGAGCAGTTTTGAAACCCTCTTTTTGTAGAATCAGCAAGTAGATATTTGGACTGCTTTGATGCCTTCGTTGGAAACGGGAATATCTTCACATAAAAACTAGACAGAAGCATTCTCAGAAAGTTCTTTGTGATGTGCACATTCACCTCATAGAGTTGAACCTTTCTTTTGAAAGAACAGCTTTGAAACCCTCTTTTTGTAGAATCTGCAAGTGGACATTTGGAGAGCTTTGAGGCCTATGATGGAAAAAAATTATCTTCACATAAAAACTAGACGGAAGCATTCTCAGAAACTATTTTGTGATGTTTGCATTCAACTCACAGAGTCGAATATACCTTTTCATTGTACAGTTTTGAAACTCTCTTATTGTAGAATCTGCAAGTGGATAATTTGACCACTTTGAGGCCTTCGTCTGAAACGGGAATATCTTCACATAAAAACTAGACAGAAGCATTCTCAGAAACTTCTTTGTGATGTTTGCATTCAACTCACGGGATTGAACAAACCTTTTCATAGAGCAGTTTTTAAATACTCTTTTTGTAGAATCTGCAAGTGGATATTTGGACCACTTTGAGGCCTTCGTTGGAAACGGGAATATCTTCACATGAAAACTACACAGAAGCATTCTCAGAAACTTGTTTGTGATGTGTGCATTCAACTCACAGATTTGAAATTTTCTTTTGATAGAGCAGTTTTGAAACACTCTTTTTGTAGAATCTGTAAGTGGACATTTGGAGAGCTTTGAGGCCTATTGTGGAAAAGGAAACGTCTTCAAATAAAAATTAGGCAGAAGCATTCTCAGAAACTTCTTTGTGATGTTTGCATTCAACTCACAGAGTTGAAATTTGTTTGGATAGGGCAGATTTGAAAACCTCTTTTTGTAGAATCTGCAAGTGGCTATTTGGGGAGCTTTGAGGCCTATGGTGGAAAAGGAAATATCTCCATATTAGAACTAGACAGAAGCATTCTCAGAAACTTCTTTGGGATGTGTGCATTCAACTCACAGAGTTGAACCTTCCTTTTGTTAGAGCAGTTTTGAAACACTCTTTTCATAGAATCTGCAAGTCGATATTTGGAGAGCTTTGAGGCCTTCGTTGGAAACGGGAATACCTTCATATAAAAACTAGACAGAAGGATTCTCAGAAACTTTTTTGGGATGTGTGCATTCAACTCACAGAGTTGAACCTTCTTTTTGATAGAGCAGTTTTGAAACACTCTTTTTGTAGAATCTGCCAGGGACATTTGAAGAGTTTGAGAGCTATGGTGGAAAAGGAAATATCTTCACATAAAAACTAGACAGAAGCATTCTCAGAAACTTCTTTGTGATTTTTGCATTCAACTCACCGAGTTGGACATTCCTTTTCATAGAGCAGCTCTGAATCACTCTTTTTGTAGAATCTGCATGTGGATATTTGGACCACTTTGAGGCATTGCTTAGAAACCGGAATATCTTCACATAAAAACTGGACAGAAGCATTCTCAGGAAGTTCTTTGTGATGAGTGAGTTCAACTCACAGTGTTGAATCTTTCTTTTGATAGGGCAGTTTTGAAACACTCTTTTTGTGTGATCTGCAAGTGCCCATTTGGAGAGCTTTGAGGCCTATGGTGGAAAAGGAAATATCTCCACATTAAAACTAGACAGAAGGAATCTCAGAAACTTATTTGTGACATATGGATTCAACTCACAGAGTTGAACATTCCTTTTGTTAGAGCAGTTTTGAAACATTCTTTTTGTAAAATCTGCAAGTGGATATTTGGACAGCTTTGTGGTCTGCTTTGGAAATGGGAATATCCTAAAATAAAAACTAGACGGAAGCATTCTCAGAAATGTCTTTCTGATGTGTGCATTCAATTCACAGCGTTGAACCTTCCTTTTGATAAAGCAGTTTGGAGACACACTTTTTGTAGAATCTGCAAGTGGAAATTTGGAGTGCTTTGAGGGCTATTGTGGAAAAGGAAATATCTTCACATAAATACTAGACAGAAGAATTCTCAGAAACTTCTTCGGGATATTTGCATTCAACTCAGAGAATTGAACCTTCCTTTTCATAGAGCAGTTTTGAAACACTCTTTTCGTAGAATCTGCAAGTGGATATTTGGACAGCTTTGAGGCCTTCGTTGGAAACGGGAATATCTTCACATAAAAACTAGACAGAAGCATTCTCAGAACCTTCTTTGAAATCTGTGCATTCAACTCACAGAGTTGAACCTTCGTTTTGATAGAGCAGTTTTGAAACACTCTTTTTGTAGAATCTGCAAGGGACATTTGGAGAGCTTAGAGAGCTCTGGTGGAAAAGGACACATCTTCACATAAAAACTAGATAGAAAAAGTCTCAGAAACTTCTTTGTGATTTTTGCATTCAACTCACAGAGTTGAACATTCCTTTTCATAGAGCAGTTTTGAAACACTGTTTTTGTAGAATCTGCAAGTGGATATTTGGACCACTTTGAGGCCTTTGTTGGAAACTGGAATATCCTCACATAAAAACTGGACGGAATATTCTCAGAAAGTTCTTTGTGATGTGTGCATTCAAATCACAGAGTTGAACTTCGTTGTGAAAGAACAATTTTGAAACACTCTTTTTGTGGAATATGCAATTTGCCATTTGTAAAGCTTTGAGGTCTATGGTGGAAAAGGAAGTATCTCCACGTTAAAACTATACAGAAGCATTCTCAGAAACTTCTTCGTGATGTGTGCATTCAACTCACAGTGTTGAACGTTCCTTTTGTTAGAGAAGTTTTGAAACACTGTTTTCTTAGAATCTGCAAGTGGATATTTGGAGAGCTTTGAGGCCTTCGTTGGAAACGGAAATATCTTCACATGAAAACTAGACAGAGGCATTCTCTGAAACTTCTTTGGGATGTGTGCATTCATCTCACAGAGTTGAATCTTCCTTTTTGATAGAGCAGTTTTGAAACACTCTTTTTGTAGAATCTGCAAGGGACATTTTGAGAGCTTTGAGAGCTATGGTGGAAAAGGAAATATCTTCACATAAAAAAAGACAGAAGCATTCTCAGAAACTTCTTTGTGATGTTTGTATTCAACTCACAAAGTTGAACTTTCCTTTTCATAGAGCAGTTTTGAAACACTTTTTGTAGAATCTGCAAGTGGATATTTGGAACACTTTGAGGCATTCGTTGGTAACCGGAATATCTTCACATAAAAACTGGACAGAAGCTTTCTTAGAAAGTTCTTTGTGATGTGTGAATTCATCTCACAGAGTTGAACTTTGTTTTGATAGGGCAGTTTTGAAACACCATATTTGTAAAATCTGCAAGTGGCCATTTGGCGAGCTTTCAGGCCTAGGTGGAAAAGGAAATATTTCCACATAAAAACTAGACAGAAGCATTCTCAGAAAGTTTTTTGTGATGTGTGGATTCAACTCACAGAGTTGAACCTTCCTTTTATGAGAGCAGTTTTGAAACACTCTTTTCGTAGGATCTGCAAGTGGATATTTGGACTGCTTTGTGGTCTGCATTGGAAACGGGAATATCTTCACATATAATTGGACAGAATGATTTTCAGAAAGTTATTTGTGATGTGTACATTCAACTCACAGAGTTTAAAGTTTCTTTTCATATAGCAGTATTGAAACACTCTTTTTGTAGAATCTGCAAGTGGACAATTCGAGGGCTTTGAGTGCCTTGGTGGAAAAGGAAATATCTTCACACAAAAACTAGACAGAAGCATTCTCAGAAGCTTCTTTGAGATGTGTGCATTCAACTCAGAGAATTGAACCTTCCTTTCCATACAGCAGTTTTGAAACACTCTTTTCGTAGTATCTGTAAGTCGATATTTGGACCGTTTGAGGCATTCGTTGGAAACGGGATTATCTTCACATAAAACTTGACAGAAGCATTCTCAGAAACGTCTTTGTGATGTCTGCATTCAACTCACAGACTAGAACCTTCCTTTTCATAGAGCAGTTATGAAACGCTCTTTTTGTAGAATCTGCAAGTGGATATTTGGAGAGCTTTGAAGGCTATCTGGGAAAAGGAAATATCTTCACATAAAAACTAGACAGAAGCATTCTCAGAAACTTCTTTGTCATGTTTGCATTCAACTCACAGAGTTGAATCTTCTATTTCATAGAGCAGTTTTGATACACTGTTTTTGTAGAATCTCCAAGTAGATATTTGCACCGATTTGAGGCTTTCTTTGGAAACGGGGATATCTTCACATAAAAACTAGACTGAAGCATTCTCAGAAACGTCTTTGTGATGTGTGCATTCAACTCACAGAGTTGAACTTTCTTGGATAGAGCAGTTTTGAAACATTCTTTTCATAGACTCTGCAAGTGAATATTGGGACCGCTTTGAGGCCTTTGTTGGAAATGGGGATATCTTCACATAAAAACTAGAAAGAAGCATTCTCAGAAACGTCTTTCTGATGTGTGCATTCTACTCACAGATTTGAACTTACTTTTTCATAGGACATTTTTGAAATACTCTTTTTCTAGAATCTGCAAGTGGATATTTGGACTGCTTTGACGTCTTCGTTGGAAACGGGAATAACTTCATATAAAAACTAGACAGAAGCATTCTAAGAAAATTCTTTGTGATGTGTGCATTCAACTCACAGAGTTGAACCTTCCTTTTGATACAGCAGTTTCAAAACTGTCTTTTTGTGGAATTTGCAAGTGGACATTTGGGTAGCTTTGAGGCCTATGGTGGAAAAGGAAATATCTTCACATAAAAACTAGACAGAAGACTTTTCAGAAACGTCTTTGTGATGTGTGCATTCAACTCACAGAGTTGAATATTCCTTTTGATAGAGCAGTTTTAAAACACTCTTTTTGTAGATTCAGCAAGGGGATATTTGGACTGCTTTGATGCCTTCGTTTGGAAACTGGAATATCTTCACATAAAAACTAGACGGAAACATTCTCAGTAACTTCTTTGTGATTTGTGTATTCAAGGCATATAGTTGAACCTTTCTTTTGATACAACAGTTTGGAACACTCTTTTTATAGAATCTGCAAGTGGACATTGGGAGAGCTTTGAGGCTTATAATGGAAAAAAATCTTCACATAAAAACTAGACAGAAGCATTCTCAGAAAGTTCTTTGGGATGTGTGCATTCAACTCACAGAGGTGAAACTTCCTTTTTATGGAGCAGTTTTGAAACACTCTTTTTGTAGAATCTGCAAGGGACATTTGGAGAGCTTTGGGAGCTCTGGTGGAAAAGGAAATATCTTCACATAAAAACTAGACAGAAGCATTCTCAGACACTTCTTTTTTTAAATTTATTTATTATTATTATACTTTAAATTTTAGGGTACATGTGCACAATGTGCAGGTTAGTTATATATGTATACACGAGCCATGTTGGTGTGCTTCACCCATTAACTCGTCATCTAGCGTTAGATATATCTCCCAATGCTATGCCTCCCCTCTCCCCCCACCCCACAACAGTCTCCAGAGTTTGATGTTCCCCTTCCTGTGACCATGTGTTCTCATTGTTCAATTCCCACCTATGAGTGAGAATATGCGGTGTTTGATTTTTTGTTCTTCTGGTAGTTTACTGAGAATGATGATTTCCAATTTCATCCATGTCCCTACGAAGGACATGAACTCATTATTTTTTATGGCTGCATAGTATTCCATGGTGTATATGTGCCACATTTTCTTAATCCAGTCTATCATTGTTGGACATTTGCGTTGGTTCCAAGTCTTTGCTATTGTGAATAATGCCCCAATAAACATACGTGTGCATGTGTCTTTATAGCAGCATGATTTATAGTCCTTTGGGTATATACCCAGTAATGGGATGGCTGGGTCAAATGGTATTTCTAGTTCTAGATCCCTGAGAAATCGCCACACTGACTTCCACAATGGTTGAACTAGTTTACAGTCCCACCAACAGTGTAAAAGTGTTCCTAATTCTCCACATCCTCTCCAGCACCTGTTGTTTCACGACTTGATTTTTGCATTCGACTCACAGAGTTGAACATTCATTTTCATAGAGCAGTTTTGAAACACTGTTTTTGTAGAATCTGCAAGTGGGTATTTGGACCACTTTCAGGCCTTCATTTGAAACCGGAATATCTTCACATAAAAACTAGACAGAAGTATTCTCATAAACTGCTTTGTGATGTGTGCATTCAACGCACAGAGTAGAACGTTTCTTTTGATAGAGCAGTTTTGAAACACTCTTTTTGTAGAATCTGCAAGAGTTCATTTGGAGCGCTTTGAGGCCTATGGTGGAAAAGGAAATATCTTCACATAAAAACTAGAGAGAAGCATTCTCAGAAACTTCTTTGTGTGTGTGCATTCAGCTCACAGCGTTGAACCTTCCTTTTGTTAGAGCAGTTTTGAAACACTCGTTTTATAGGATCTGCTAGTGGATATTTGGAGATTTTTGAGGCCTTCGTTGGAAACGGGAATGTCTTCACATAAAAGCTAGTCAGAAGCATTCTCAGAAACTGCTTTGTGATGCGGGAATTCAACTCACAGAGTTGAGCATTTCTTTTGACAGAGCAGTTATGAAACACTCTTTTTGTAGAAGTTGCAAGTGTTCATTCAGTGCTCTTTGAGGCCTATGGTGGAAAAGGAAATATCTTCACATAAAAACTAGACAGAAGCATTCTCAGAAACTTCTTTGTGATGTATGCATTCAACTCACAGAGTTGAATCTTCCTTTTGAGAGAGCAGTTTTGAAACAGTCTTTATGTAGTATCTCCAAGTGGATATTTGGAGCGATTTGAGGCCTATGGTAGAAAAGGAAATATATTCACATAAAAACTTGACAGAAGCATTCTCAGGAACTTCTTTGTGATGTGTGCATTCAACTAACAGAGTTGAAAGTTTCTTGTGATAGAGCAGTATTGAAACACTCCTTTTCTAGAATCTGCTAGTGGATATTTGGAGATTGTTGAGGCCTTCTTTGGAAACGGGAATATCATCTCATAAAAAGTAGACAGAAGCATTCTCAGAAAGTTCTTGTGATGTGTCCATTAAACTCATAGAGTTGAACCTTTCTTTTGAAAGAGCAGTTTTGAAACACTCTTTTTGTAGAATCTGCAAGAGTTCATTTGGAGCGCTTTGAGGCCTATGGTGGAAAAGGAAATATCTTCACATAAAAACTAATCAGAAGCATTCTCAGAAACTCCTTTGAGATTTGTGAGTTCAACTCACAGAGATGAACCTTCCTTTTGATAGAGCAGTTTTCAAACAGTCTTTTTGAAAAATCTACAAGTGGATATTTGGAGCGATTTGAAGCCTATTGAGGAAAAGGAAATATCCTCACATAAAAACTAGACAGAAGCATTCTCAGGAACTTCTTTCTGATGAGTGCCTTCATCTCACAGTTTTGAACCTTCCTTTTGATAGAGCTGTTTTGAAACCGTCTTTTTGTAGGATCTGGAATTGGAAATTTGGAGCGATTTGAGGCCTATGGTGAAAAACGAAATATCTTCACATAAAAACTTGACAGAAGCATTCTCAGAAACTTCTTTGTGATGGGTGCATTCAACTCACAGTGTTGAAATTTTCTTTTGAGAGAGCACTTTTGAAACAGTCTTTTTGTAGAATTTGCAAGTGGATATTTCTAGGGATTTGAGGCCTAAGGTGGAAAAGAAATATCGTCACATAAAAACTAGAGAGAAGAATTCTCAGAAACTTCTTTGTGATGTGTGCATTCAATTCACAGAGTTGAAACTTTCCTTTGATAGAGCAGTTTTTAAGCACTCCTTTTGTAGAATCAGCTGGTGGATATTTGCAGATTTTTGAGGACTTCATTGGAAACGGGAATATCTTCACATAATAACTAGACAGAAGCATTCTCAGAATCTGCTTTGTCATGTGTGCATTCAAGTCACAGAGTTGAACTTTTCTTTTGATAGAGCAGTTTTGAAACACTCTTTTTGTAGAATCTGCAAGTGTTCATTTGGAGCGCTTTGAGGCCTATGGTGGAAAAGGAAATATCTTCACATAAAAACTAGACAGAAGCTTTCTCAGAATCTTCTTTGTGATGTGTGCATTCAAATAACAGAGTTGAACATTTCTTTTCATAGAGGAGTTTTGAAACACTCCTTTTCTAGAATCTGCTAGTGGTTATTTGGAGATTTTTGAGGCCTTCATTGGAAACGGGAATATCTTCTCATAAAAAGTAGACAGAAGCATTCTCAGTAAGTTCCTTGGGATGTGTGCAATCAACTCTCAGAATTGAAACTTTCTTTTGATGGAGCAGTTTTGAAACACTCTTTTTTTTGGAATCTGCCAGTGTTTATTTGGAGTGCTTTGGAGTCTAAGGTGGAAAAGGAAATATCTTCTCATAAAAAGTATACAGAAGCATTCTCAGAAAGTTCTTTCTGGCGTGTGAATTCAAGTCACAGAGTTGAACCTTCTTTTGATAGAGTAGTTTTGAAACACTCTTTTTGTAGAAGCTGCAAGTGTTCATTTAGTGTGCTTTGAGGCTTATGGTGGAAAAGGAAATATCTTCACATAAAAATTAGACAGAAGCATTCACAGAAACCTCTTTGTGATGTTTGCCTTCAACTCACCGAGTTGAACCTTCCTTTTAAAAGAGCAGTTTGGAAACAGTCTTTTTGTGGGATCTCTAAGTGGATATTTGGAGAGATTTGATGCCTATGGTGGAAAAGGAAATATCTTCACATTAAAACTTGACAGAAGCACTCTCAGAAACTTCTTTGTGATGTGTGCATTCCACTCACAGAAGTGAAACTTTCCATTTGAAAGAGCAGTTTTGAACACTCCTTTTGTAGCGTCTGCTTGTGGATATTTGGAGCTCTTTGACGCCTTCTTTGTAAACGGGATATCTTCAAATAAAAACTAGACATAAGCATTCTCATAAACTCATTTGTGATGTGTGCATTCAAGTCACAGAGTTGAACCTTCCTTTTGATAGAGCAGTTTTGAAACACTCTTTTTGTAGAAGCTGCAAGTGTTCATTTTGCGTGCTTTGAGGCCAATAGTGGAAAAGGAAATATCTTCACATAAAAACTAGAGAGAATTATTCTCAGAAACTTCTTTGTGATGTGTGCCTACAACTCACAGGGTTGAACCTTCCTTTGGACAGAGCAGTTTTGAAACAGTCTTTTTGTAGAATCTGCAAGTTGATATTTGGAGCGATTTGAGGTCTACTGTGGAAAGGGGAATATCATCACATAAAAATTAGAGACAGAAGCATTCTCAAGAACTTCTTTGTGATGTGTGCATTCAACCCACAGAGTTGAACATTTCTTTTGATACAGCAGTTTTGAAAGAGTCCTTTTGTGGAATCTGCTTTTAAATATTTGGAGCTTTTTGAGTCCTTCGTCGGAAACGGAATATCTTCACATAAAAACTAGACAGAAGCATTCTCAGAAACTGCTTTGTGATGTGTGCATTCAAATCACAGAGTTGAACCTCTCCTTTGATAGAGCAGTTTTGAAACACTGTTTCTGAAGAATCTGCAAGTATTCATTTGGATCACTTTGAGGCCTTTGGTGGAAAAGGAAATATCTTCACATAAAAACAAGACAGAAGCATTCTCAGAAACTTCTTTGCAATGTGTGCATTCAACTCCCAGGGTTGTACCTTCCTTTTGTTAGAACAGTTTTGAAACAGTCTTTTTGTAGGATCTGCAAGTGGATACTTGGAGGGATTTGAGCCCTCTTCTGGAAAAGGAAATATCCTCACATAAAAACATGACAGAAGCATTCTCAGAAACTTCTTGTGATGTGTGCATTCAACTCACAGAATTGAACTTTCTTTTGACAGAGCAGTTTTGAAACACTGCTTTTGAAGAATCTGCTTGTGGATACTTGGAGCTCTGTCAGGCCTTTATTGGAAACGGGATATCTTCAAATAAAATGTAGACAGAAGCATTCTCAGAAGCTGCTGTGTGATGTGGGCATTCAACTCACAGAGTTGAACCATTCTTTTGATAGAGCAGTTTTGAAACACTCTTTTGTAGAATCTGCATTGTTCATTTGGACCGCTTTGAGGCCTATGATGGAAAAGAAAATATCTTCACATAAAAACTATACAGAAGAATTCTCAGAAACTTCTTTGTGTTGTGTGCATTCAACTCACAGAGTTGAACCTTCCTTTTGATAGAGCAGTTTTGAAACACTCCTTTTGTAGAATCTGCTAGAGGATATTTGGAGATTTTTGAGGTCTTCGTTGGAAATGGGAATATCTTCACATAAAAACAAGTCAGAAACGTTCGCAGAAACAGCATTGTGATGTGTGCATTCAACGCACAGAGTTGAGCTTTATTTTTGATAGAGGAGTTTTGAAACACTCTTTTTGTAGAAGATGCAAGTGTTCATTTATTGTGCTTTGAGGCTTATGGTGCAAAAGGAAATAACTTAACATAAAAATTAGAAGCATTCTCAGAAACTTCTTTGTTATGTGTGCATTCAACTCACAGAGTTGAACATTTCTTTTGATAAAGCAGTTTTGAAACACTCCTTTTGTGGAATCTGCTTTAAATATTTGGAGCTCTTTGAGGCCTTCGTTGGAAATGGTATGTCTTCACATAAATAGTAGACAGAAGCATTTTCAGAAACCACTTTATGATGTGTGCATTCAAGTCACAGAGTTGAACCTTACTTTTGATAGAGCAGTTTTGGAACACTCTTTTTGTAGAATCTGCAAGTGTTCATTCAGAAGGGAATATCCTCACATAAAAACTAGACAGAAGCATTCTCAGAAACTTCTATGAGATGTGTGCATTCAACTCACAAGGTTGAACCTTCCTTTTGAGAGAGCACTTTTGTAACAGTATTTTTGTAGAATGTGCCAGTGGATATTTCTAGCGATTTGAGGTCTGTGCTGCAGAAGAAAATATCTTCACATAAAAAATAGAAAGAAGCATTCTCAGGAACTTCTTTATGATGTGTGCTTTCAACTCACAGAGGTGAATCTTTCTTTTGATAGAGCAGTTTTGAAACACTCCTTTGTAGAATCTGCTAGTGGATATTTGCAGGTGTTTGAGGACTTCGTTTGAAATGGGAATATCTTCACAAAAAATTAGACAGAAGCATGCTGAGAATGTGTTTTGTGATGTGTGCATCCAACTAACAGAGTTCAACCTTTCTTCTGATAGAGCAGTTTTGAAACACTCTTTTTGTAGAATCTGCAAGTGTTGATTTGTAGCCCTTTGAGACCTATGGTGGAAAAGGAAATGTGTTCACATAAAAACTAGACAGAAGCATTATCAGAAACTTCTAAGTGATGTGTGCATTCACCTCACAAAGTTGAACCTTCGTTTTGATAGAGCAGTTTTGAGAAAGTCTTTTTGTAGTAACTGCAAGTAGATATTTGGAGAGATTTGAGGCCTATGATGGAAAAGGAAATATCATCACTTAAAAACTTGACAGAAGCATTCTCAGAAACTTCTTTATCATGTGTGCATTCAACTCACAGAGTTGAATCCTTCTCTTTGATAGAGCAGTTTTGAAACACTCATTTTGTGAAATCTGCTTGTAAATATTCAGAGCTCTTTGAGGCCTTTGATGGAAATGGGATATCTTCACATAAAAACTAGAAAGAAGCATTCTCAGAAACTGTTGTGAGATGTGTGCATTCAACTCACAGAGTTGAACATTTCTTTTGGTAGAGCAGTTTTGAAACACTCCTTGTCTAGAATCTGCTAGTGGATGTTTGGAGATTATTGAGACCTTGGATGGAAATGGGAATATCTTCTCATAAAAAGTAGATAGAAGCATTCTCAGAAAGTTCTTTGTGATGTGTGCATTCAGCTCACAGAGTTGATCCTTTCTTTTGATAGATAAGTTTTGAAACACTCCTTGTCTAGAATCTGCTAGTGGATATTTGGAGATTTTTGAGGCCTTTGATGAAAACGGGAATATCTTCTCATAAAAAGTAGACAGAAGCATTCTCACAAAGTTATTTGTGATGTGTGCATTCAGCTCACAGAGTTGAACCTTTCTTTTGATAGAGCAGTTTTGAAACACTCTTGTTGTAGAATCTGCAAGTGTTCATTTGGAGCGCTTTGAGACCTATGGTGGAAAAAAAATATCCTCACATAAAAACCAGAGAGAAGCAGTCTCAGAAACTTCTTTGTGGTGTGTGCATTCAACTCACAGAGTTGAGCCTTCCTTTGGATAGAGCAGTTTTGAAACAGTGTTTTTGCAAGATCTGCAAGTGGACATTTGAGCGATTTGAGGCCTAAGGTGGAAAAGGAAATATCTTCACATAAAAACTAGACAGAAGCATTCTCAGGATCTTCTTTGTGATGTGTGCATTGAACTCAGAGAGTTGAACATTTCTTTTGATAGAGCAGTTTTGAAACACTCCTTTTCTAGAATCTGCTAGTGGATATTTGGAGATTTTTGAGGCCTTCGTTAGAAATGGGATATCTTCAAATAAAAACTAGACAGAAGCATTCTCAGAAACTGCTTTGTGATGTGTGCCTTCAACTCACAGAGTTGAATCTACCTTTTGAGAGAGCAGTTTTGAAACAGTCTTTTTGTAACATCTGCAACTGGATATTTGGAGCGATTTGAGGCCTATTGTGGAAAAGGGAATATCTTCACATAACAACTAGACAGAAGCATTCTCAGAAACTTCTTTGTGATGTGTGCATTCAACTCACAGTGTTGAAACTTCCTTTTTATACAGCAGTTTTGAAACAGTCTTTTGTAAACTCTGCAAGTGGATATTTTGATCGATTTGAGGAATATGGTGGAAAAAGAAATATCTTCACATAAAAACTGGAGAGAAGTATTCTCAGAAACTTCTGTGTGATGTGTGCATTCAACTCACATAATTGAACCTTTCTTCTGACAGAGCAGTTTTGAAACACTCCTTTTGTTGAATCTGCTAGTGGATATTTGGAGATTTGCGAAGACTTCGTTGGAAACAGGAATATCTTCACATAAAAACCAGAGAGAGGCATTCTCAGAATCTGATTTGGGATGTGTGCATTCAACTCACAGAGTTGAACCTTTCTTTTTATAGAGCAGTTTTGAAGTCCTGTTTTTGTAGAATCTGCAAGTGTTCATTTGGAGGGCTTTGAGGCCTATGGTGGAAAAGGAAGTATCTTCACATAAAAAGTATACAGAAGCTTCCTCAGAAACTTCTTTGTGATGTGTGGAGTCAACTCACAGAGTTGAACCTTCCTTTTCATAGAGCAGTTTTGAAACAGTCTTTTTGTAGGGTCTGCAAGTGGATAATTGGAACTATTTGAGGCCTATGGTGTAAAATGAAATATCTTCACATAAAAACTAGACAGAAGCAATCTCAGGAACATCTTTGCAATGTGTGCATTCAGCTCACAGAGTTGAAGCTTTCAATACAGCAGTTTTGAAACACTCTTTTTCGTAGAATTTGCAAGTGTTCATTTGGAGCCCTCTGAGGCCTATGGTGGAAAAAGAAATATCTTCTCATAAAAACTAGACAGAAGCATTCTCAGGAAATTCTTTCTTATGTGTGCTTTCAACTAACAAAGTTGAACCTTCCTTTGGATAGAGCAGTTTTGAAACACTCCTATTGTGGAATCTGCTTGTAAATATTTGGAGCTCTTTGAGACCTTCATTAGAAACGGCATATCTTCAAATAAAAACTAGACAAAAGCATTCTCAGAAACTGCTTTGTGATGTGTGCATTCAACTCACAGAGTAGACCCTTTCTTTTGATAGAGCAGTGTTGAAACACTCTTTTTGTTGAATCTGCAAGTGGTTATTTGCAGAATTTGAGGCCTTCATTGGAAACGGGAATATCTTCTAATAAAACTAGACAGAAGCATTCTCAGAAACTGCTGTGAGATGTGTGCATTCAACTCACAGAGTTGAACATTTCTTTTGATAGACCAGTTTTCAAACACGCCTTTTCTAGAATCTGCCAGTGGATATTTGAAGATTTTTGAGGCCTTCGATGGAAATGGGAATATCTTGTCATAAAAAGTAGACAGAAGCATTCTCAGAAAATTCTTTGTGATGTCTGCATTCAGCTCACAGAGTTGAATCTTTCTTTTGATAGAGCAGTTTTGAAACACTCTTTTTGTAGAGTCTGTAAGGGTTCATTTGGAGTGCATTGAGGCCTATGGTGGAAAAGGAAATATCTTCACATAAGAACAAGAGAGAAGCATTCTCAGAAACTTCTTTGTGATGTGCGCATTCAACTCACAGAGTTGAGCCTTCCTTTGGATAGAGCAGTTTTGAAACAGTCTTTTTGTATGATCTGCAAGTGGACATTTGGAGCGATTTGAGGTCTAAGGTGGAAAAGGAAATATCTTCATAAAAAACTTGACAGAATCATTCTCAGAAACTTCTTTGTGATGTGTGCATTCAACTCACAGAGTTGAACCTTTCTTTTGAGAGAGCAGTTTTGAAACAGTCTTTTTGTAGGACCTGCAAGTGGAAATTTGGAGCGATTTGAGGCCTATGGTGTAAAAGGAAATACCTTCACATAAAAACCAAACAGAAGCATTCTCAGGATCTTCTTTGTGATGTGTGCATTGAAGTCACAGAGTTCAACATTTCTTTTGATTGAGCAGTTTTGAAACACTCCTTTTCTAGAATCTGCTAGTGGATATTTGGAGATTTTTAAGGCCTTCGTTGGAAACGGGATATCTTCAAATAAAAACTAGACAGAAGCATTCTCAGAAACTGCTTTGCGATGTTTCATTCAACTCACAGAGTTGAACATTCCCTTCGATAGAGCGGTTTTGAAACACTCTTTTTGTAGAATCTGCATGTGTTCATTTGGAGCACTTGGAGGCCTATGGTGGAAAAGGAAATATCTTCACATAAAAACTAGACAAAAGCATTCTCAGAAACCTTTGTGATGTGTTCATTCAACTCACAGAGTTGAACCTTCCTTTTGATAGGGCAGTTTTGAGACACTCTTTTTGAAGGATCGGCAAGTGGATATTTGTAACGATTTGAGGCCTCTCAGTGAAAAGGAAATATCTTCACATAAAAATTTGACAGAAGTGTTTTCACAAAATTCTTTTGATGTGTGCATTCAACTCACAGAGTTGAACCTTAATTTTGATAGAGCAGTATTGAAACATTTTTTGTAAAATCTGCAAGTGTTCACTTGGAGCACTTTGAGGCCTATAGTGGAAAAGGAAATATCTTCACATAAAAACTAGACAGAACCACTCTCAGAAACTTCTTTGTGATGTGTGCCTTAAACGCACAGAGTTGAACCTTCCTTTTCAGAAGAGCAGTTTTGAAACAAACGTTTTGTAGAAGCTGCAAGTGTATATTTGGAGCGATTTGAGGCCTATGGTGGAAAAGGAAATATCTTCACATAAAAATTAGACAGAAGCATTCTCAAGAACTTCTTTGTCATGTGTGCATTCAACTATCACATAAAAACTAGACAGAAGCATTCTCAGAAACTGCTTTGTGATGTGTTCATTCAACTCACAGAGTTGAACATTTCTTTTGATAGAGCAGTTTTGAAATATTCTTTTTGTAGAATCTGCAAGTGTTCATTTGGAGCATTTGAGGCCTAGTGTGGAAAAGGAAATATCTTCACATAAAAACTATACAGAAGACTTCTCAGAATCTGGTTTGTGATGTGTGTATTCAACTCACAGAGTTGAACCTTTCTTTTGATAGAGCAGTTTTGAAACAATCTTTTTGTAGAATCTGCAAGTTTTCATTTGGAGCGCTTTGAGGCCTATGGTGGAAGAGGAAACATCTTCACATAAAAACTAGACAGAGGTATTCTCAGAAACTTTTTGTGATGTGTGCTTTCAACTCACAGAGTTGAACTTTCCTTTTGAGAGAGCAGTTTTGAAACAGTCTTTTTGTAGAATCTGCAAGTGGATATTTGGGGCGATTTGAGGCCTATGGAGGAAAAGGAAATATCTTCACGTAAGAGCTTGAGAGAAGCATTCTCAAAAACTTCTTTGTGATGTTTGCATTCAACTCACAGTGTTCAACCTTTCTTTTCATAGAGCAGCTTTGAAACACTCCATTTGTAGCATCTGCTAGTGGATATTTGGAGCTCTTTGAGGCCTTCATTTTAAAATGGAATATCTTCACATAAAAAATTGACAGAAGCATTCTCAGAAACTTCCTTGTGAGGCGTCCATTCAACTCACAGAGTTGAACCTTCCTTTTGAGAAGAGCAGTTTTGAAACACTCTTTTTCCAGAATTTGCAAGTGTTCATTTGGAGCGCTTTGAGGCCTGTGATAGAAAAGGAAATATCTTGATTTAAAAACCAGACAGAAGCATTCTCAGAAACTTCTTTGTTATGTGTGCATTCAACTTACAGATTTGAACCTTCCTTTTGGTAAAGCATTTTTGAAACACTCCTTTTCTAGAATCTGCTAGCGGATATTTGGAGATTTGTGAGGACTTCGTTGGAAACGGGAATATCTTCAAATAAAAACTAGACAGAAGCATTCTGAGAAACTGCTTTGTGATGTGGGCATTCAACTCACAGAGTTGAACCTTGATTTTGATAGAGCAGTATTGAAACACTCTTTTTATAGAATCTGCAAGTGTTCATTTGGAGGACTTTGAGGCCTATGGTGGAAAAGGAAATATCTTCACATTAAAACTAGACAGAAGCACTCTCAGAAACTTCTTTGTGATGTGTACCTTCAACTCACGGAGTTGAAACGTCCTTTTGAGGAGAGCAGTTTTGAAACTGTCGTTTTGTAGAACCTGCAAGTGGATATTTGGAGCGATTTGTGGCCTATGGTGGAAAAGGAAATATCTTCACATAAAAACTAGGCGGAAGCATTGTCAGAAACTGCTTTGTGATGTGTGCATTCAACCAACAGAGTTGAACCTTTCTTTTGATATAGCAGCTTTAAAACAGTCCTTTTCTAGGATCTGCTAGTGGATATTTGGAGATTTTTGAGGCCTTCGTTGGAAACTGGAATATAGTCTCATAAAAAGTAGACAGAAACATTCTCAGAAGCTGCTTTGTGATGTGTGCATTCAACTCACAGAGTTGAACCTTTCTTTTTATAGAGCAGTTTTTAAACACTCTTTTTGTAGAATCTGCATGTGTTCATTTGGAGCGCTTTGAGGCCTATGGTGGAAAAGGAAATATCTTCACATAAAAACTACATGGAAGCATTCTCAGAAACTTCTTTGTGATGTGTGCATTCAACTCACAGAATTGAACCCTCCTTTGAGAGAGCAGTTTTGAAACCATCTTTTTGTAGAATCTGCAAGTGGAGATTTGAGCGATTTGAGTCCTATGGTGGAAAAGGAAATATCTTCACATAAAAACTAGACAGAAGCATTCTGAGAAACTTCTTTGTGATGTGTGCATGCAACTCACAGAGTTGAACCTTCCTTTTGATAGAGCAGTTTTGAAACCCTCTTTTTGTAGAGTCTGCAAGTGGATATTTGGATCGATTTGAAGCCTATGGTGGAAAAGGAAATATTTTCACATAAAAACTAGGGAGAACCGTTCTCAGAAACTTCTTTGTGATGTGTGCATTCAACTCACAGAGTTGAAAGTTTCTTTTCATAGAGCTGTTTTGAAACACTCCTTTTGTAGAATCTGCTAGTGGATATTTGGAGCTCCTTGAGGCCTTCTTTGGAAAAGGGAATATCTTCACATAAAAACTAGACAGAAGCATTCTCAGATACTGCTTTGTGAAGTGGACATTCAACTCACACAGTTGAACCTTTCTTTTTATAGAGCAGTTTTGAAACACTCCTTTTGTAGAATCTGCTTGTCGATATTTGGAGCTGTTTGAAGCTTTCGTTTGAAACAGGGTACCTTCAATCCAAAACTAGAGAGAGGTATTCTCAGAAACCGCTTTGTGATGTGTGCATTCAACTCACAGATTTAAACCTTTCTTTTGATAGAGCAGTTGTGAAACACACTTTTTGTAGAATCTGAAAATGTTCATTGGGAGCGCTTTGGGGACTATGGTGGAAAAGGAAATATCTTCACATAAAAACTAGACAGAAATATTGTCAGAAACTTCTTTGTGATTTGTGAATTCAACTCACAGAGTTGAACTTTCCTTTTGAGAGAGCAGTTTTGAAAAAGTCTATTTGTAGGATCTGCAAGTGGATATTTGGAGTAATTTGAGGCTTATGGTGGAAAGGGAAGTATCTTCACATTAAAACTAGACAGAAACATTCTCAGGAACTTCTTTGTGATATGTGCATTCAACTAACAGACTTGAACCTTTCTTTTGATAGAGAAGTTTTGAAACCCTGCTTTTCAAGAATCTGCTGGTGGATATTTGGGTATTTTGGAGGCCTTCATTGAAAACAGAAATATCGTCTCATAAAAATAGATAGAAGCATTCTCAGAAACTGCTTTGTGAGGTGTGCATTAAACTCACTGAGTTGAACCTTTCTTTTGATAGAGCAGTTGTGAAACACCCTTTTTGTAGGATCTGCAAGTGTTCATTTGGAGTGCTTTGAGGCCTGTGGTTGAAAAGGAAATAAGTTCACATAGAAACTAGACAGAAGCATTCTGAGAAACTTCTTTGTGATGTATGCATTCAACTCACAGATTTGAACGTTCCTTTTGACAGAGCAGTTTTGAAACACTCTTTTTGTAGAATCTGCAAGTGTTCATTTGAAGCGCTTTGAGGCCTATGGTGGAAAAGGAAATATTTTCCCATAAAAACTAGATAGGAATATTTTCAGAAACTTCTTTGCGATGTGTGCATTCAACCCACAGAGTTGAACCTTCCTTTTGAGAGAGCAGTTTTGAAACCGTCTTTTTGTAGAATCTGCAAGAGGATATTTGGAGCAATTTGAGGCCTATGTTGGAAAACGAAATATCTTCACATAAAAAGTAGACCAGAATCATTCTCAGGAACTTCTTTTTGATGTGAGCATTCACCTCACAGAGTTGAACCTTCCTTTGAGAGAGCAGTTTCGAAATAGTCTTTTTGTAGAATCTGCAAGTGGAAATTTGAGCAATTTGAAGCCTATGGTGGAGAAGGAAATATCTTCACATAAAAACTAGACAGAAGCATTCTCAGAAACTTTGTGATATGTGCATTCAACCAACAGAGCTGAACCTTTCTTTTGATTGAGCAGTTTTGGCACACTTCTTTTCTATAATCTTCTAGTGGTTATTTGGAGATTTTTGAGGCCTTCATTGGAAACGGTATATCTTCTCATAAAAAGTAGACACAAGGATTCTCAGAAACCGCTTTTTGATGTGTACATTCAACTCACGGATTTGAAACTTTCTTTTGATAGAACAGTTTTGGAACATTCTTTTTGTAGAATTGGTAAGTGTATATTTGAAGAGTTTTGAGGCCTTTGGTGGAAAAGGAAATATCTTCACATAAAAACTAGACAGAAGCATTCTCAGAAACTTACTTGTGATGTCTGCATTCAACTCACAGAGTTGAACCTTCCTTTCTATAAAGCAGTTTTGAAACAGTCGTTTTGTAGGATCTGAAAGTGGAAATTTGGAGCAATTTGAGGCCTATGGCGGAAGAGAAAATATCTTCACCAAAAAATTTGACAGAAGTATTCTCAGAAACGTCTTTCTGATGTGCGCATTCAACTGACAGAGTTGAACCTTCCTTTTGAGAGAGCAGTTTTGAAAGAGTCTTTTTGTAGAATCTGCAAGTGGATATTTGAGCAATTTCAGGCCTATGGTGGAAAAGGAAATATCTTCACATAAAAAATAGACAGAAGCATTCTCAGAAACTAATTTGTGATGTGTGCATTCAACTAATAGAGTTGAAACTTTCTTTTGATAGAGCAGTTTTGAAACACCCCTTTTGTAGAATCTGCTAGTAGATATTTGGCAATTTTTGAGGATTTCGTTGGAAACGGGAATATCTTCACATAAAAACTAGATAAAAGCATTCTCAGAATCTGCTTTCTGATGTGTGCATTCAAGTCACAGAGTTGAACCTTTCCTTTGATAGAGCAGTTTTGAAACTCTCTTTTTGTAGAAACTGCAATTGTTCATTTTGAGCCCTTTGAGGCTTATGTTGGAAAAGAAAATATCTTCACATAAAAACTAGACAGAAGCATTCTCAGAAACTTCTTTGAGATGTGTGCATTCAACTCACAGAGTTGAACCTTCTTTTTGAGAGAGCAGTTTTGAAACCTTCTTTTTGTAGAATCTGCAAGTGGATATTTGGAGCGATTTGAGGTCTATGTTGGAATACGGAATATCTTCATATAAAAACTAGATAGAAGCATTCTCAGTGACTTCTTTGCGGTGTGTGCATTCAACTCACAAAGTTGAACATTTCTTTTGATAGAGCAGTTTTGAAACACTCTTTTGTGGAATCTGCTTGTAAGAATTGTGAGCTTTTTTAGGCCTTCGTTGGAAACGGTATATCTTCACATAAAAACTAGACAGAAGGATTCTCAGAAACGTCTTTGTGATGTGTGCTTTCGACTCACAGAGTTGAAACTTTCTTTTGATACAGCAGTTTTGAAACACTGTTTTTGCAGAATCTGCAAGTGTTCATTTGGAGAGCCTTGAGTCCTTTGGTGGAAAAGGAAATATCTTCACATAAAAACTTGATAGAAGCATTCTCAGAAACATCTTTGTGATGTGTGCATTCAAATCACAGAGTTGAACCTTCCTTTCTATAGAGCAGTTTTGAAACAGTCTTTTTGTAGGATCTGAAAGTGGAAATTTGGAGCGATTTGAAGCCTGTGGTGGAAAAGGAAATATCTTTAATGAAAACTTGACAGAAGCATTCTTGGGAACGTTTTTCTGATGTGTGCATTTAACTCACAGAGTTTAAACTTTCTTTTGATAGAGCAGTTTTCAAACCCTCATTTGTGGAATTTGCTTGTGGATATTTGGAGCTTTTTGAGGCCTTCATTGGAAGCGAGATATCTTCATGTAAAAACTACATGGAAGCATTCTCAGAAACTGCTTTGTGATGTTGCATTCAACTCAGAGAGTTGAACATTTCTTTTCATAGTGTAGTTTTGAAACACTCTTTTTGTAGGATCTGCAAGTCTTCATTTGGATCGCTTTGAGGTCTACGGTGGAAAAGGAAACATCTTCACATAACAACTAGACAGAAGCATTCTCAGAAACTTCTTTGTAATGTGTGCATTCAACTCACAGAGTTGAAGCTTTCTTTTTATAGCACAGTTTTGAAACACTCCTTTTGTAGTATCTGCAAGTGTTCATTTGGATCGCTTTGAGGTCTATGGTGGAAAAGGAAATATCTTCACATAAAAACTAGACAGAAGGATTCTCAGAAACTTCTTTGTGGTATGTGCATTCAAATCACAGAGTTGAACCTTCCTTTTGACAGAGCAGTTTTGAAGCAGTCTTTTTGCAGAATCAGCAAGTGGATATTTGGAGCAATTTGAGGCCTATGGTTGAAAAGAAAATATCTTCACATAAAAACTAGACAGAAGCATTCTCAGAAACTTCTTTGTGATGTGTGCATTCAACTAACAGAGTTGAAAATTTCTTTTCATAGAGCAGTTTTGAAACACTCGTTTTATGGAATCTGCTTGTAAATATTTGGAGCTCTTTAAGGTCTTCTTTGGAAACGGGATATCTTCACATTAAAAACTTGACAAAAACATTCTCAGAAACTGCTTTGTGATGTGTGCATTCAACTCATGGCTTTGAAACTTTCTTTTGATAGAGCAGTTTTGAAACCCTCTTTTTGTAGAATCTGCATTTGGCCCTTTTGAGCGCATTGAGGCCTACGGTGGAAAAGGAAATATCTTCACATAAAAACTAGACAGAAGCATTCCCAGAAACTTTTTTGTGATGTGTGCATTCAACTCACAGAGTTGAACCTTCCTTTTGAGAGAGCAGTTTTCAAGCAGTCTTTTTGTAGAATCCACAATGGATATTTAGAGCGATTTGAGGCCTATGGTGTAAAAGGAAATATCTTCACATAAAACTGGACAGAAGCATTCTCAGGAACTCTTGTGATGTGTGCATTCAACTAACAGAGTTGAACCTTTCTTTTGATAGAGCCGTTTTGAAACACTCCTTTTGTCTAACCTGCTGGTGGATATTTGGAAATTTTTGAGGACTTCTTTGGAAACGGGAATATCTTCACATAAAAACTAGACAGAAGCTTTCTCAGAACCTGCTTTGTGATGTGTGCATTCAACTCATAGAGTTGAACCTTTTTTTTTGATAGAGCAGTTTTGAAACACTCCTTTTGTCGAATCTGCTCATAGATATTTGGAGGTCTTTGAGGCCTTCATTGGAAACGGGATATCTTCACATTAAAATTAGTCAGAGGCATTCTCAGAAAGTGATTTTTGATGCGTGCATTCAACTCACAGAGTTGAAAGTTTCTTTTGATAGAGCAGTTTTTAAACACTGTTTTTGTAGAAGCTGCAAATGTTCATTTAGAGCGCTTTGAGGTCTATGGTGGAAAAGGAAATGTCTTCACATAAAAACTAGACAGGAGCATTCTAAGAAAGTTCTTTGTGATATGTGTTTTCAACTCACAGAGTTGAACATTTCTTTTGACAGAGGAGTTTTGAAACAGTCTTTTTGTAGAATCTGCAAGTGTTCATTTAAAGAGCTTTGAGGCCTTTTGTGGAAAAGGAAATATCTTCACATAAAAAATTGACAGAGCATTCTGAGAAACTTCTTTGTGATGTGTGCATTCAACTTACAGGGTAGAACCTTCCTTTCGCTATAGCAGTTTTGAAACAGTCTTTTTATAGGATCAGCAAGTGGATATTTGGAGAGATTTGAGGCCTATGGTGGAAAATGTGATATCTTCAGAAAAAAACTTGACAGAAACATTATCAGAAATTTCTTTGTGATGTGTGTATTCAACTGTCAGAGTTGAACTTTTCTTTTGATAGAGCAGTTTTGAATCACTCCTTTTGTAGAAACTGCCTTTGGATATTTGGAGCTCTTTGAGGTCTTCTTTGGAAATGGGATATCTTGAAATAAAATCTAGATAGAAGCATTCTCAGAAACTGCTTTGTGATGTGTGCATTCAACTCACAGAGTGGAACCTTTCTTTTGATAGAGCAGTTTTGAAACACTCTTTTTGTAGTATCTGCAAGTGTTCATTTATAGCACTTTGAGGCCTATGGTGGAAAAGGAAATATCTTCAAATAAAAATTAGACAGAAGTATTCTCAGAAACTTCTTTGTGATGTGTGCATTCAACTCACAGAGTTGAACTTTCCTTTTGACAGGGCAGTTTTGAAACAGTCTTTTTGTAGAATCTGCAAGTGAATATTTGGAGCGATTTGAGGCCTATGGTGGAAAAAGAAATATTTTCACATAAAAACTAGGCAGAAGCATTCTCAGGAAGTTCTTCGTGATGTGTGCATTCAACTAACAAATTTCAACATTTCTATTGATAGAGCAGTTTTCAAACACTCCTTTTCTAGAATCTGCTAATGGATATCTGGAGATTTTTGATACCTTCATTGGAAACGGGAATATTTTCTCATAAAAAGTAGACAGAAGAATCCTCAGAAAGTTCTTTGTGATGTGTGCATTCAACACACAGAGTTGAACCTTTCTTTTGATAGAGCAGTTTTGAAACACTCTTTTTGTAGAATCTGCAAGTGTTCATTTAGAGCAATTTGAGGCCTATGGTGGAAAAGGAAATATCTTCACATAATACCTAGACAGAAGCATTCTCAGAAACCTCTTTGTGATGTGTGCATTCAACTCACATAGTTGAACATTCCTTTCTATAGAGCAGTGTTGAAACAGTCTTTTTGTAGAATCTGCAAATGGATATTTGGAGCGATTTGAGGCCTATGGTGGAAAAGGAAATATCTTCACATAAAAACTAAGCAGAAACATTCTCAGGAACAACTTTGTGATGTGTGCATTCCACTAACAGAGTTGAACCATCCTTTTGATAGAGCAGATTTGAAACACTCCTTTTGTAGAATCTGCTAGAGATATTTGGATATTTTTGAGGACTTTGTTGGAAACGGGAATATCTTCACATAAAAAATAAATATTAGCATTCTCAAAATCTGCTTTGTGATGTGTGCATTCAACTCACTGAGTTGAACCTTTCTTTTGATAGAGATATTTTGAAACACTCCTTTTGTAGAATCTGCTTGTGTATATTTGGATCTCTTTGAGGCCTTCGTTGGAAAAGGTATATCTTCACATAAAAACTAGACAGAAGCATTCTCAGAAACTGCTTTGGGATGCATGCATTCAACTCAGGTATTTGAACCTTTCTTTTGATAGAGCGGTTTTGAACCTCTCTTTTTGTAGAATCTGCAAGTGTTCATTTGGAGCGCCTTGAGGCCTATGGTGGAAAAGGAAATATCTTCACATAAAAAATAGACAGAAGCATTCTCAGAAACTAATTTGTGATGTGTGCATTCAACTCACAGAGTTGAAACTTCCTTTTGATAGAGCAGTTTTGAAACACTCCTTTTGTAGAATCTGCTAGTGTATATTTGGAGATTTTTGAGGCCTTCATTGGAAAGGGGAATATCTTCACATAAGAATTAGTCAGAAGCATTCTCAGAAAACGTTTTTTGATGTGTGCATTCAACTCACAGAGCTGAACCTTTCTTTTGATAGAGCAGTGTTGAAACACTCTTTTTGTAGAAGCTGCAAGTGTTCATTTAGTGCGCTTTGAGGCCTATGGTGGAAAAGGAAATATCTTCACATGAAATCTAGACAGAAGCATTCTCAGAAACTTGTTGGTGATATGAGCCTTCAACTCACAGAGCTGAACTTTCCTTTTGACAGAGCAGTTTTGAGACAGTCTTTTTGTAGAATCTGCAAGTGTTCATTTGGAGAGTTTTGAGGCCTATGTTGGAAAAGGAAATATCTTCACATAAAAACCAGACAGAAGCATTCTGAGATACTTCGTTGTGATGTGTGCATTCAAGTCACACAGTTGAATCTTTCTTTTGAAAGAGCAGTTTTGAAACACTCTTTTTGTAACATGTGCAACTGTTCATTTGGAGCGCTTTGAGGCGTATGGTGGAAAAGGTAATATCTTCACATAAAAACTACACAGAAGCATTCTCAGAAACTCCTTTGTGATGTGCGCATTCAACTCACAGAGTTGAACCTTCCTTTGGACAGAGCAGTTTTGAAACAGTCCTTTTGCAGAATCTGCAAGTGGGTATCTGGAGCTATTTGAGGCCTATGGTGGAAAAGGAAATATCTTCACATAAAAACTAGACAGTAGCATTCTCAGGAACTTCTTTGTGATGTGTGCATTCATCTCACAGAGTTGAACGTTCCTTTTGATAGAGTAGTTTTGAAACACTCCTTTTGTAGAATCTGCTAGTGGATATTTGGAGATTTTTGAGGCCTTCATTGGAAACGGGAATATCTTCACATTAAAACTATTCAGAAACATTCTCAGAAACTGCTTTTGATGTGTGCATTCAACACACAGAGTTGGACCTTTCTTTTGATAGAACAGTTTTGAAACAGTCTTTTTGTGGAATCTGCAAGTGGATATTTGGAGCGATTTGGAAACTATCTTGGAAAAGGAAATATCTTCACCTATAAACTAGACAGAAGCATTCTCAGAAACTTCTTTGTGATTTGTGCATTCAACTCACAGAGTGGAACCTTTCTATTGATAGAGCAGTTTTGACACACTCTTTTTGTAGAATCTGCAAGTGTTCATTTGGAGCGCTTTGAAGCCAAAGGTGGAGAAGGAAATATCTTCAAAGAAAAACTAGACAGAAACATTCTCAGAAACTTCTTTGTGATGTGTTCCTTCAACTCACAGAGTTGAAACTTCCTTTTGAGAGAGCAGTTTAGAAACAGTCTTTTTTAGAATCTGCAAGTGGATATTTGGAGTGATTTGAGGCCTATGGTGGAAAAAAACAATACCTTCACATAAAAACTAGACAGAAGCATTCACAGAAACTTCTTTGTGATGTGTGCATTCAACTCACAGAGTTGAACATTTCCTTTGATAGAGCAGTTTTGAATCACTCTTCTTGTGGAATCTACTTGGAAATGTTAGGAGCTCTTTGAGGCCTTCTTTGGAAACGGGATATCTTCACATAAAAACAAGACAGAAGCATTCTCAGAAACTGCTTTGTGATGAGTGCATTAGACTCACAGATTGAAACTTTCCTTTGATAGAGTAGATTTGAAACATTCTTTTTCTAGAATCTGCAAGAGTTCATTTGGAGCACTTTGAGGCCTATGGTGTGAAAGGAAATATCTTCACATAAAAACTAGACAAAAGCATTCTCAGAAACTTCTATGTGCTGTGTGTATTCAACTCACAGAGTTGAAAATTAGTTTTTATAGAGCAGTTTCGAAACAATCCTTTTGTAGGATCTGAAAGTGGAAATTTGGAGCGCTTTGAGGCCTACGGTGGAAAAGGAAATATCTTCACATAAAAACTACACAGAGGCATTCTCAGAAACTTCTTTGTGATGTCTTCATTAAACTCACAGAGTTGAACATTCATTTTTATAGAGCAGTTTCAAAATAGTCTTTTTGTAGGATCTGAAAGTGGAAATTTGGAGCGATTTGAGTCCAATGATGGAAAAGGAAATATCATCACGTAAAAACTAGACAGAAGCATTATCAGAAACTCCTTAGTGATGTGTGCATTCAACTCACAGAGTTGAACCTTTCTTTTGATAGAGCAGTTTTGAAATAATCCATTTGTTGAATCTGCTTGTGGATATTTGGAGCTCTTTGAGGCGTTCTTTGGAAATGGTACATCTTCAAATAAAAACTAGACAGAAACATTCTCAAAAACTGCTTTGTGACGTGTGCATTCAACTCACAGATTTCAACCTTTCTTTTGATGCAGCAGTTATGAAACACTCTTTCTGTACAATCCGCAATTGTTCATTTTCAGAGCTTTGAGGCCTATGGTGGAAAAGGAAATATCTTCACATAATAACGAGACAGAAGAATTCTCAGAAACTTCCTTGTAATGTGTGCATTCAACACACTGAGTTATACATTCCTTTTCATAGAGCAGTTTTGAAACAGTCTTTTTGTAGTATCTGCAAGTGGATATTTGGAGCTATTTGAGGCCTATGGTGGAAATGGAAATATCTTCAAATAAAAACTTGACAGAAGCATTCTCAGAAACTTCTTTGTGATGTGTGCATTCAACTAACAGAGTGGAAACTTTCTTTTGATATAGCAGTTTTGAAACACTCCTTTTGTAGAATCTGCTGGTGGATATTTGGATCTTTGAAGCCTCCGTTGCAAACGGGATATCTTCAAATAAAAACTACACTGAAGCATTATCAGAAAGAGCTTTGTGATGTGTGCATTCAAGTCATACAGTAGAACCTTTCTTTTCATAGAGCAGTTTTGAAAAACTCTTTTTGTAGAAGCTGCAAGAGTTCATTTAGGGTGCTTTGAGGCCTATGGTAGAAAAGGAAATATCTTCACATAACAACTAGACAGAAGCATTCTTAGAAACATCGCTGTGAAATATGCATTCAACTCAGAGAGTTGAACCTTTCTTTTGACAGTGCAGTTTTGAAACAGACTTCGTGTAGAATCTGCAAGTGCATTTTGCAGAATCTGCAGCACTCTCCCTTTGGTTCCCTGACATTCGCTTCGGCCAGAAGATCAAGGGAGTCTGTCCACCCAGGAGCAGAGGAGAGGATGTCTCTCAAGAATGAGACAGGAAGTGCACAGGAACTGCGACACCACCTGTCCTGGAAGACGAGGCCTGTCACGGTCGCCTAGGGCTCATTCTAAGCAATCCACCCACCCATGAGGGGAAAAGTGGAGAAGTAGGAAGCTTCCCTGCCTGAGACATGCAGGGAAGCCAAGAGCTCCAGGTTCATGAGACCTGCCCAATGAAGCAGAAACACGTTTGGAGAGAGAAACAATCGCGACACGGATCTCCAGGAAGTGTCTCCCTGACGGACTGGGAAGTCGTCTTTGTGGAAGACATTTGGCCAGAGTGAGAGGCATCAAGGCCCCTGAGAAACAGGGGAGGCAGACCAAGAGGGAGGACAGAGCAGAGGACGGAGCCCAGGCAGGATACGGCATCATGCCACCGACCCAGGCATAAGGGGAGGTGTTCCTAAAGGGTGGCTTGTCCAGAGAGGCCAGCATTCCAGTGACAGGGATTGTTGCCATCTCCCATTCCCGGCTTCCTCTTGCAGACTGTATCATGGTGTGACTTCATTTCTCAGAGAAGAGGCGTGAAAAGATACAAGCATCTTCTCTGACGTGGGTCCGCTGCTCTCCTGTGGGACAAAGAGCTCCTGTGGGGCTCTTGTCCTCGGCTGCAGTGTGTTCATCTTCATCCTAGAAAGGAGGCCGCTCAGGATGTTGATGAGATTTCAATTGCTCCGGGAACGACGCATCTCCTCACCTGGGCCAGGCCCTCACACACCCAAAGTGGATCCGCGGCGGCAGAAACCATTGACAACCGGCCTCATGACCCAGGCAGAGACACAGAAAGAGGCTCACCTGAGACAGACCGCCATGTGAGAAACCGCATTGTGGCGCACAGGGCACATTCGGCCAAACACGCACACGCACACGTGCACACAGACACAAACAGACAGAGAGAGGGAAAGAAACACGCAGAGAGTGAGAGACAGAGAGAGAAGAGAGAATGGGAGACACACACCCAGACACATGCAGACACACACACACTCACACACACACACACACACACACAGAGTCATACAGCAGCGGCATTGAAACACACACCCCCAGTCAACCCCTGAGGCTGTGGGGTTCTGCTCTCAATGAGAACCACCCTCGGGTGAGAGAGCAGCCCAGGTGCACACAGGCGGACCTGTCCTCGAGATCATGGCGGCACGACTTTTGGGGAGACTCACCCCAACCAACACCGTCCGGGCAGGCCTGAGGCTGGGATGCCTTGCTGCTTCTCCCGGACTCTGCCTGGGGTTTCCTCAATCTGGTCTGCGTTTTGCGGCTCCTGGCATCCGGAGACGTTCCAGTCGACCCTGTGGAGAGGTCAGGCCGGAGCCCCAGAGCCCCGACACCCAAGCACTGCCATGGAGGGCTCCTGCTTTGCCAAGCCTCGGGGACCGGTTTCTAAGACAACCATGGGAAGCACTGTGACTGGAAAAGCCGCTGGCGCCTCGCGCATGTTCATTGGCTGGGCCGACTCCTGCACCGCTCCTGGCAGTCAGGCTGTGTCCCCTTTAAATAACGCCAACGACGAGTTAGTTGGTGCAGCACACCAGCATGGCACATGTGTAGGTATGTAACTAACCTGCGTAATGTGCACATGTACCCTAAAACTTAAAGTATAATAAAAAAAAGTTTAAAAAAATAAAATAATAAAATAAAATAAAATAATGTTTGCTTACACCCTAAAAATAAATAAATAAATAAATAAATAAATAAATAAATAACGCCACCGCTGCCCACCGGGGTCGGCTGGATCCGGGGTCCAGTTTGGGGTGGAGTGGGAGAGGGGCCGCGGGTGTCCTGTCAAAGGGCCAAATCCCCACGAGTGCTGTCCTCGGGACCTCCGTGAGCCGACTTCCACCGAGGGAGGGGGAGTTTCAGGACGCCTGTTGTGTTCTCAAGACTCCCCTTCAGATCCGATTTTGGCCCCCTCCGAGTGAGATAGGATGGGCTCCCCTCATCTGTTGAGGCAGGCAGGGCCTCGCTGCAGCACAGAATGATCCCATAGGAATCAAGGCTAAGTGTCAGCTGCAAGTGCACTGATCCATCAGCCCTCTGCCTCCCTCGTCCTTTGAAAGAGCAGTGGCCTGCCCTGCTTCTAAAATTCCTGGGGCTCCGGAAAGCCGACCCCGCTTTACAGAACACGTGCAAAGAGGAAGACGGGCGAATCCGAGGTGGAGACCATACGACCACGCGTGGCACTGGTGTGTCCCACTGCAGATGGTGTGAATGTGTGTCACCGGAGGCATACGGGGCGATGGCAAAACAGACGGCGGTGTCCAGGCATGTGCCGGGGGAAGGGGGGGAACGAGTGACCTTTCCATCAATGCCAAGGAAAATGGAAGAACACCGGGGACCCGGGGGCTTGGGGGGGGCTGTGGCTGACCCAAGCCACGTTTTCAAATGCCTACCAGAGGAGCAAAGAGGTTTCTGTAAAATTCGCCCCACCCCCAACCATCCACCGCCCTGGTAGCCCTGAGGCAACTTCTGCTGCAGCCAGCCACAGCCCCAGCCCCAGCCCCAGACACAGCCCAGTCCCTTTGGTTCTCTGACATTCGCTTCGGCCGGAAGATCAAGGGAGTCAGTCCACCCAGAAGACAGCACTCATGGGGATTTGGCCCTTTGATGGGACACCCGCGGCCCCTCTCCCAAGCCGCCCTAACTGGACCTCGGATCCAGCCACCCACGCGGCTGCAGCAGGAGCCTCCCTGTCTCCGCGCAGCGGTGGCTTTATTTATTTATTTATTTATTTATTTATTTATTTATTTTTTAGGGTGTAAGCAAATACTATTTTATTTTATTTATTTTATTTTTTTAATCCTTTTTTATTATACTTTAAGTTTTAGGGTACATGTGCACATTGTGCAGGTTAGTTACATACCTATACATGTGCCATGCTGGTGTGCTGCACCAACTAACTCGTCGGTGGCGTTATTTAAAGGGGAGGCAGCCTGACTGCTAGGAGCGGTGCGCGAGTCAGCCCAGTCAATGCACATGTGTGAGGCGCGAGCGGCTTCTCCCGTCCCAGTGCTTCCCATGGTTGTCTTAGATACCGGTCCCCGAGGCTTGGCAAAGCAGGAGACCTCCATGGCAGTGCTTGGGTGTCGGGGCTCTGAGGCTCTGGCCTGACCTCTCCACGGGGTCGACGGGAAGGTCTCTGGATGCCAGGAGTCGCAAAGGGCAGACCAGGCTGAGGAAATCCCAGGCGGAGTCCGGGAGAAGCAGCACAGCGTCCCAGCCTCAGGCCTGCCCAGACGAAGTTGGTTGGGGTGAGTCTCCCCAAAAGTCGTGCTGCCATGATCTCGAGGACAGGTCCACCTGCGTGACCCTGGGCTGCTCTCTCACCCAAGGGTCCTTCTCGTCGAG
The DNA here is from genome assembly GCF_000001405.40 of Homo sapiens. Classification (NCBI taxonomy): domain Eukaryota; kingdom Metazoa; phylum Chordata; class Mammalia; order Primates; family Hominidae; genus Homo; species Homo sapiens. The sequence goes on from NC_000001.11 coordinate 125,066,788, forward strand.
AGCAGAACCCCGCAGCCTCAGGGGTTGACTGGGGGTGTGTGTTTCAATGTCGCTGCTGTATGACTCTGTGTGTGTGTGTGTGTGTGAGTGTGTGCGTGTCTGCATGTGTCTGGGTGTGTGTCTCCCATTCTCTCTTCTCTCTCTGTCTCTCAGTCTCTGCATGTTTCTTTCCCTCTCTCTGTCGGTTTGTGTCTGTGTGCCCATGTGCGTGTGCATGTCTGGCCAAATGTGCCCTGTGTGCCACAATGCGGTTTCTCGCATGGCGGTCTGTCTCAGGTGAGCCTCTTTCTGTGTCTCTGCCTGGGTCATGAGGCCGGTTGTCAATGGTTTCTGCCGCCGTGGATCCACTTTGGGTGTGTGAGGGCCTGGCCCAGGTGAGGAGATGCGTCGTTCCCGGAGCAATTGAAATCTCATCAACATCCTGAGCGGCCTCCTTTCTAGGATGAAGATGAACACACTGCAGCCGAGGACAAGAGCCCCACAGGAGCTCTTTGTCCCACAGGAGAGCAGCGGACCCACGTCAGAGAAGATGCTTGTATCTTTTCACGCCTCTTCTCTGAGAAATGAAGTCACACCACGATACAGTCTGCAAGAGGAAGCCGGGAATGGGAGATGGCAACAATCCCTGTCACTGGAACGCTGGCCTCTCTGGACAAGCCACCCTTTAGGAACACCTCCCCTTATGCCTGGGTCGGTGGCATGATGCCGTATCCTGCCTGGGCTCCAGCCTCTGTGCTGTCCTCCCTCTTGCTCTGCCTCCCCTGTTTTTCAGGGGCCTGGATGCCTCTCGCTCTGGCCAAATGTCTTCCACTAAGACGACTTCCCAGTCCATCAGGGAGACACTTCCTGGAGATCCGTGTCGCGATTGTTTCTCTCTCCAAACGTGTTTCTGCTTCATTGGGCAGGTCTCATGACCCTGGAGCTCTCGGCTCCCCTGCGTGTCTCAGGCAGAGAAGCTTCCTACTTCTCCACGTTTCCCCTCATGGGTGGGTGCATTGCCTAGAATGAGCCCTATGCGAACGTGACAGGCCTCGTCTTCAAGGACAGGTGGTGTTGCAGTTCCTGTGCATTTCCCGTCTCATTCTTGAGGGACATACTCTCCTCTCCAATCATCATGTAATGGAATAGAATGGAATCATCGAATGGAATCGAATGGAGTCATCATCGTATGGAATCAAGTGGAATTATCGAATGGAGTCAAAAGTAATCATCAGAGAATGGAATCGAATGGAATCAACATTTAATGGAATATAATGGAATCATCATCGAGTGGAATCTAATGGAATCATCCAACGGACCCGAATGGAATCATCACTGAATGGAAAAAAAAATGGAATCAACATCAAATGGAATCAAATGCAATCATCTAATGGACACGAATGGAATCATCATTGGATGAATAGAATGAAATCATCATTGAATGTAATCGAATGGAATCATCTAAAGGACACGAATACCATCATCATTGAATGGAATTGAATGGAATCATCTAATGTTCTCGAATGGAATCATCATCTCATGGAATAGAATTGAATCATCGAATGGAATCAAATAGAATCATCATCATAAGGAATAGAGTGGAATCATCAAATGGACTCAAAAGTAATCATCGGGGAATGGAATCGAGTGGAATCACTGAATGGACTCGAATGGAATCATCATCAAGTGTAATCAAATGGAATCATCTAATGGACCCGAAGGGAATCATCATCGAATGGAATCGAATGGAACCATCGAATGAAATCGAATGGAATCACCATCGAATGGAGTCGAATGGAATCATCATCGAATTGAATCGAATGATATCATTGAATGGACTCAAGTGGAATCATCGAATGGACTTAAATGGAAACATCATCGAATGGAGTCAAATGGAATCATCAGATGGCAACAAATAGCATCATCAATGAATGGAATCTAAGGGAATAATTGAATGGACTTGAATGGGATAATCGAATGGACTCGAGGGGAATCATCATCATATGGATTCTTCGAATGGACTCGAATGGAATCTTCATCAAATGGAATCGAATGGAATCATCAAATGGACTCGAATGGAATCATTGTCAAATGGAATCTAATGGAATCATCGAATGGACTTGAATGGAATCATCATCGAATGGAATGGAAAGGAATCATCAAATGGACTCGAATGGAATCATCATCGAATGGTATCGAATGGAATCTACAAATGGACTCGATTGAAATCTTCATTGAATGCAAACGAATGGAATCATCCTCGAATGGAATCGAATGGAACCATCATCGAATGGAATTGAATGGAATCATCCAATGGAATAGAATTGTATGATAATCAAATGGAATCAAATAGAATCATCGAATGAAATCAAATGAAATCATCATCGAGTGTAATTGAATGGAATAATCATAGTTTGGAATCGAATGGAATCATCATCGAATGGAATAAAAAGGAATCATCCAATGCAATATAATTGAATCATGATCGAATGGAATCGAATACAATCATCAAATGAAATCAAATAGCATCATCGAATAAAATCAAATGGGATAATAATCGAATGGAATCAAATGGAATCATCATCGAATGGAATCGAATGGAAACATCCAATGTAATAGAATTGAATCAACATCGAATAGAAACATCGAATGAAATCGAATGGAATCATAATCGAATGGACTCAAATGGAGTCATCGAATGGACTCGAATGGAATCATCATCGAATGGAATAGAATGGAATCATCGAATGGAATAGAATGGAATCATCACCGAATGAAATAAAATGGAATCATCGAATGGACTAGAATGGAATCATCATCGAGTGGAATCGAATGGAATCATTGAATGGACTCGAATGGAATCATCATCGAATGAAATCAAATGGAATCATCGAATGGACATGAATGGAATCACCATTGAATGGAAACGAATGGAATCATAGAATGGAATCGAATGGAATCATCATTGAATGGAATCAAATGGAATCGTCCGAATGGAATCCAAAGGAATCATTATCAAATGGAATCTAATGGAAGCATCATGTAATGGAATTGAAAGGAATCATCAACTAATGGAATCGAATGGAGAAATCGAATGGAATCTGCTGGAATCATCATCGAATGGAAACGAATGCAATCATCATCGAATGGAATCGAATGGAATCATCATCAAAAGGAATCGAAAGGAATCATAGGATGGAATCGAACGGAATCATCGAATGGACCCGAATGGAATAATTGAATGGACTCGAATGGAATAATTGAATGGACTCGAGTGGAATAATCGAAAGGACTCAAATGGAATCATCAAATGGAATTGAATGGAATGATCGAATGAACTCGAATGGAATCATCATCAAATGGAGTCGGATGGAATCATCTAATGGACTCGAATGGAATCATCAAATGGAGTTGAATGGAATTATCGAATGGTCTCGAATGGAATAATCAAATGGACCCTAATGGAATCATCATCGAATGGAATCTAATGGAATCATCAAATGGACTCGAATGGAATCATTGAATTGACTCGAATGAAAACATCAAATGGATTCGAATGGAATCATCTTTGAATGGAATCGAATGGAATCCTTAAATAGAATCACATAGAATTATGAAATGGAATCGAACAGAATCATCATTGAATGGAATCGAATGGAATCATCGAATGGAATTGAAGGCAATAATCGTTGAATGGAATCAAATGGAATCATCAAATGGAATCGAATGGAATCATCATCAAGTGGAATTGAGTGGAATCATCGAATGGAATCGAATGGAATCATTGTCGAATGGGATGGAATGGAATCAATGAATGGAATTGAATGGAATCACCAATGAATGGAATTGAATGGTGTCATCAACGAATGGAATCGAATGGAATCATCATAGAATGGAATCGTGTGAAATCATCTAATAGGCAGGAATACAATCATCACCAAATCGAATCGAATGGAATCATCATCAAATAGAATCGAGTGGAATCACTTAATGGACTCGAATGGAATCATCATCAAATGGAATCGAATGGAATCATCTAATGGACTCGAAAAGAATCATCATCAAATGAAATCAAATGGAATCACTGAATGGACACGAATGGAATCATCATCTAATAGAATCAAATGGCATCAACAAATTGACTCAAATTGAATATAATCAAATTGAATCAAAAGCAATCATCAAATGGACTCAAATGGAATTATTGTATGGACTCGAATGGAATCATAATCGAATGGACTCAAACGGAATGATCAAATGGACTCTAATGGAATCAAAGATTGGACTCAAATGAAATTATCAAATGGGCTCAAATGGAAACATTGAATGGACTCGAATGGAATCATTATCGAATGGAATCAAATGGAATCATCGAATGGAATCGAATGGAGTCATCGAATGGAATTGATCGGAATCATCATCGAATGGAATCAAATGGAATCATCAAATGACTCGAATGGAACCATTATCAAATTGAATCAAATGGAATCATCAAATGAAATCAAATGGAATCATCGAATGGAATCATTGAATGGAATTCATCGGAATCATCATCGAATGGAATCAAATGGAATCATCAAATGGAATTGAATGGAATCAGCATCAAATGAAATCGAATGGAATCATCATCGAATAGAATCGAATGGAATATTGGAATGGAATCATCATCAAATGGAGTCCAATGGAATCATCAAATGGACTCGAATGGAAACATCATAGAATGGAATTTCATGGAATCATTGAATGGAATCGAATGGAATCAAACAGAATCATCATAGAATGGAATTGAATGGAATCATCGAATGGAATCAAATGGAATCGAATGGTATCATTGAATGCACTGGAATGGAATCATCAATGAATGGTATCGAATGGTATCATCGAATGGAATCGAATGGAATCATCTTCAATTGAGATCAAAAGGAGTCACCGAATGGACTCGAATGGAATACTAATCAAAAGGAATCAAATGGAATCATTGAACGGACTCGAATGGAATCATCGAATGGACTCAAATGGAATCATCGTACAGAATCGAATTGAATCATCATCGAATGTAATCAAATGGAATCATCATCGAATGGAATCGAAAAGAATCAACATCAAATGGACTCGAATGGAATCATCATCGAATGGAATCCAAAGGAATCATCGTCGAATGGAACCGAATGGAATCATCATCGAATGGAACCGAAAGGAGTCATCATCGAATGGAATAGCATGGAAACATCGTCTAATGGAGTCGAATGGAATCATCATTGAATGGAATTGAAAGGAATCATCAAATGGACTTGAATGGAATCATTCAAAGAACTCGAATGGAATCATCATCGAATGAAATCGAATAGAGTCATCGAATGGACAAGAATGGAATCATCATCGAATGGAATTGAAAGGAATCATCAAATGGACTTGAATGGAATCATTCAAAGAACTCAAATGGAAACATCATCGAATGAAATCGAATAGAGTCATCGAAAGGACACGAATGGAATCATCATCGAATGCAATCGAGTGGAATCATCAAATGGAATTGAATGGAATCATCATTGAATGGAATCGAAAGGAATCATCATCAAATGGAATTGAATGGAATCATCATCGAATGGAACCTAAAGGAGTCATTATCTAATGGAACCGAATGGAATCATCAACGAATGGAATCAAATAGAGAAATCGAATGGAATACATTGGAATCATCATCGAAAGGAATCGAATGCAGTCATCATCGAATGGAATCAAACAGAATCATCATTGAATGGAATCGAATGGAATCATCGAAAGGAATCTAAGGGAATCATCTAATGGAATTGAACTGAATAATGCAATGGAATCAAATGGAATCATCATCGAATGGACTCCAATGGAATTATCATCGAATGGTATTGAATGGGAACATAGAATGGACTCAAATGGAATAATCGAATGGACTCAAATGGGATCATCGAATGGACTCAAAAGGAATAATCGAATGGACTCAAATGGAATCATCGAATGGAATCGAATGGAATCATCGAATGGAATCAAATGGAAACATCATTGAATGGAATCTAATGGAATCATCAAATGAACTGGAATGGAATCATTGAATGGACTTGAATGGAATGATCATCGAATGGAATAGAGTGGAATCCTCGAATGTAATCAAATGGAATCATCAAATGGAATCGAATGGAATCTTCGAACGTAATTGAATGCAATCATCATCGAATGGCATCGAATGGAATTATCAACAAATAGAATCAAATGGAATCATCGAATGGAATCGAATGGAGTCATCGTCAAGTGGAATCGAGTGTAATCATCGAATGGAATCGAATGGAATCATTGTCGAATGGAATTTCATGGAATAAATGAATGGAATTGAATGGAATCACCAATGAATGAAATGGAATGGAGTCATCATCAAATGGAATCAAATGGAATTATCGAATGGACTTGAATAGAATCATCATCGACTGGAATCGTGTGGAATCATCTAATGGTGAAGAACAGAATCATCATCAAATGGAATCGAATGGAATCATTGTCAAAAGGAACGGAATGGAATCAATGAATGGAATTGAATGGAATCACTAATGAATGGAATGGGATGGAGTCATCATCGAATTGAATCGAATTGAATCATAGAATGGACTCAAATAGAATCATCATCGAATGGAATCGTGTGGAATCATCTAATGGGGAAGAATAGAATCATCATTGAATGGAATAGAATGGAATCATCGAATGGAATTGAACGGAATCATCATTGTATGGAATCGAGTGGAATCATCTAATGGACTCGAATTTAATCATTGGAGAATGGAATCAAATGGCATCATCAAATGGACTGCAATAGAAACATCATCGAATGGAATCATCTATTGAATCCGAATGGAATCATCATAAAATGGAAACAAATGGGATCATCGAATGGACTTGAATGGAATCATCATCGAATGGAATCAAATGGAATCATCGAATGGACTCGAATGAAATCATCATCGAATGGAATCAAATGGAATCATCGAATGGAATTGAATGGAATCATCATCAAATGGAATCGAATGGAATCACGGAATGGACTCGAATGGAATCATAATCAAATGGAATCGAATGGAATCATCTAATGGACTGCAATAGAAACATCATCGAATGGAATCATCTATTGTATCCGAATGGAATCATCATAAAATGGAATCAAATGGGATCATCAAATGGACTCGAATGGAATCATCATCAAATGGAATCGAATGGAATCATCAAATGGACCCGAATGGAATCATCATTGAATCATCGAATGGAATCGAATGGAAACAACGAATGGACTCGAATGGAATCATCATCGAATATAATTGAAACAATCATCAAATGGATTTGAATGGAATCATCGAATGGACTCAAATGGAATCATCATCGAATGAAATCAAATGGAATCATTGAATGGACTCGAATGGAATGGTCATCAAATGGAATCGAATGGAATCATGGAATGGAATCCAATGGAATCATCTTCAAATAGAATTGAATGGAACCATCGAATGGACTCGAATGGAGTCATCATCTAATGGAATAGAACGGAATCATCGAATAGAATCGAATGTAATTGTCATCGAATGAAATCACATTGAATTATCAAATTGACTCGAATGGAATCATCGTCAAATGGAATCATCGAATGGACTCGAATTGAATCACCATTGAATGGAATGGAATGGAATCATCAAATGGATTCGAATGGAATCATCATCGAATGAAATAGAAAGGAATCATCGAATGGAATCATCATTGAATGGAATTGAATGGAATGATCTAACGGACTCGAATGGAATCATTGTTGAATGGAATCGAAAGGAAACATTGAATAGACACGAACTGAATCATTATGGAATGGAATCGAATGGAGTCATCATCAAATGGAATCGTATAGAATACTCTTCGTATGGAATTGATGGAATCATCAAATGGAATAGAATAGAATTATCTCTGAATGGAAACAAATGGAATCGTTGAATGAAATCAAATGGAATCATCATCGAATGGAATCATCATCAAATGGAATCGAACAGAATCATCATCAAATGGAATGGAATGGAATCATTGAATGGAAACGAATCTAATCTTCGAATGGGCTTGAATGGAATTATGATCGAATGGAATTGAATGGAATCATCAAATGGAATTGAATGGAATCGTCATCGAATGAATTGAATGGAAGCATTGAATGGTCTCGAATGGAATCATCTTCAAATGGAATCGAATGGAATAATTACATAGAACCAAATGGAATTATCATCGAATGGACTCGAATGGAATCAACATCAAACGGAATCAAACGGAATTTTCGAATGGAATCGAAGAGAATCATCGAATGGACTCGAATGGAATCAGCAAATTGAATGGAATGGAATAATCCATGGACTCGAATGCAATCATCATCGAATGGAATTGAATGGAATCATCGAACGGACTCGAATGGAATAATCATCAAATTGAATCGAATGGAATCATCATCGAATGGAATTGAATGGAATCAGCAAATGGTATCAGATGGAATCATCATCGAATGGAATCGAATAGAATTATGGAATGAAATCGAATGTGATCATCATCAAATGGACTCGAATGGAATCATCATCCAATGGAAACTAATGGAATTAACATCGAATGGAATTGAATGGAAACACCATTGAATTGAAACGAATGGAATTATCATGAAATTGAAATGGATGGACTCATCATCGAATGGATTCGAATGGAATCATCGAATGGAATTGATTGGAATCATCATCAAATGGAATCGAATGGAATCATTGAATGGAATCGAATGGAATCATCATCGGATTGAAATGAATGGAATCATCATAGAATGGAATTGAATGGATTCGTTGAATGGAATCAGATGGAATCATCGAATGGACTTGAATGGAATCATCGAATGGACTTGAATGGAATCATTATTGAATGGAATTGAATGGAATCATCGAATGGTCTCAAATGAAATCATCATAGAATGGAATCGAATTTAATCATTGAATGGAATCAAATGGAATCATCATCGAATGGAATCGAATAGAATCGGCATCGAATAGAATCGAATGGAATCATCATCAGTGTAATTGAATGGAATTTTCTTCAAATGGAATCAAATGGAAACATCATCGAATAGGATCGAATGGGATCATCGAATGAAACTGAATGGAATCATCATCAAAAAGAATCAAAATAAAACAAAGAATAGAATCCAACAGAATCATTGAATGGATTCAAATGGAATCATCATTGAATGGACTCGAATGGAGTCATCATTGAATGGAATCAAATGGAATCATTTAATGGACTCGAATGGAATCATTGAATGGACTCGAATGGAATCATCAAATGGACCCAAAAGGAATCATCGAATGTAATCAAATGGAATCATCGAATTGAATCCAATCAAATCATCATTGAATGGAATCGAATGGAATCATCATCAAATGGAATCGAAAGGAATCATCATCCAATGTAATCGAATGGAATCATCATCGAATGGAATCGAAAGGAATCATCATCAAATGGAATCGAATGGAATCATCAATGAATGGAATCTAATGGAGTCTTCTAATGGAGTCCGTTAGAATCATCATCGAATGGAACCGAATGCAGTCATCATCTAATGGAATTAAATGGAATTATCGAATGGACTCAATGGAATCATCATCACATGGAATCGAATGGAATCATCGAATGGACTCAAATGGAATCATCATCAAATGGAATCGAATGGAATAATCGATTGGACATGAATGGAATCACCATTGAACGGAATTGAATGGAATCTTCAAATGGAATCGAATGAAATTATTGAATGGAATCAAATAGAATCATCTTTGAATAGAATCGAATTGGATCATCATCGAATAGAATCTAATGAAATCATCATCAAATGGAATCTAGTGGAGTCATCATCTAATGGAATTGAATGGAATCAGCAAGGAATGGAATCGAATGGAGAAATTGAATGGAATCCGTTGGAATCATCATTGAATGGAAACAAATGCAGTCATCATAGAATGGAATTGAATGGAATCAACGAAGGGACTCGAATTGTGTCATCATTGAATGGAATCGGATGGAATCATCAAATGGACTTGAATGGAGTCATCGAATGGACTCTAATGGAATCATCATCAAATGGAATCGAATGGAATCAAACTGAATCATCGAACGGACTCTAATGGAATCATCATCGAATGGATTCGAATGGAATCATCGAATGGACTCGAATGGAATCATTGAATGGACTCGAATGGAATCATCATCGAATGGAATCGAGTGGAATCCTCGAATGGAATCAAATGGAATCATCAAATGGAATCGAACAGATTTATAAGAAACTTACTTGAACCAAACAATAGAAAAACAAACAAACCAAAACCCCCTAAAACTGTGATGAACAAAGTAGACATCAGAACAGGAAATATCACTGGGGATGAAGAATAACATTTCAAAATGAAAAAGGGGAAAATACACCAAGAAGTCATGTAAATGAGAAATATGTATGCACACAATAACATTACTTCAAAATACATAATATAAAACTTATTAAAACTGAAAGGTAAAATAGTAAAACCATAGTCATCCATGGGGATTTCAACAGTCTCCTGCCAGAAATTTTTAAATTTTGTTAAACAAAATGTTGGGAAGGGTAGAGAGGATCTTAAAAATATAATTAGCCAACTTGATCTAATTGAATCTTTTAGAATAATCTAAGGATGAGGAATGAGGTAGCAGAGAGAGAAAAGGCAGACATCAAGGTGACATTAGTGTTTCAAGGCTATGAGAATACAGCAATCATGGTGTGTGTGTGTGTGCAGATGGTAAGCTCAATCTTAAAAATATTGAGTTTTAACTGACAATTCATTATTAGGAAAGATAAGAGGAAATGATATCTAGTGAGAGGCTATATGACTGAACTCTAAGAGAAAGGTCACAGCAGAAATCGTGTACTTGACAGCTCTATAAGGAGGTCAGTCAAAAATAAGTCAGTGATGAGTTCTCTGGTGTAAAAGCAGAGGAATGAGGATTAGATTGAAAACACATGGAAGCAGAGTGACTTATGATAAAAACATGAGCTTGAAAATCCTGCAGAGAGGGCTTTAAATCCTGGGTATGATATTCTGCTTGTGTAGGCAATAGTGATAAAAACACAACAACAAAAAGAGGTAAAGAGCACTTTCCTTTGATATAAGTAAAGGGCACGTCTTATTGCACACACACATATATACATACATATATATATATATATATATATATGTATGTATATATGTATGTATATATGTATTCAACTGAGATTCAACATGTTTCTCTCATTGAAACAGCAAGCTCTGCAGGTCTCATGTTCCCAGTGAGGTAGGTAACCTTCTGATGATTATACTCACCCTCCCTCATTGCAAAGCTCCCATTGTTATTGTCTTGGCTCTGGATTCCCTCCAAAATAGACTATGAAACAAATATCTGGGGTCAGATACTTTAATCAGAAATTGAGTGAGAAAGCACAGAAGTGGAGAAAATGAAACAGAACACGAATCCAGTGTGAATGAGTAGTTACTGCTATGTGCTCAGTAATGATGGAGGTATGGAGATTGTGTTAAAATAACCATACAAAGAGATGGCAATGCTGGAATCCCCATCTCTTATTGCTTAAGGATTGCCTTAGAATCATTAACTCTCCACCCCTAACTCCTTCTTTGGTCCTATGTGTGGTTGAGAAGCACTGATTAGCCTCAAGAAGCTTGCAGGCAGGCCCAAAAATCAGAAAGACAGGCATGATGTGGGGAGCTCTCAGTTAGCTGGAAACAGGTGAATTTCAAGTGAACACATTGAGTCCAGGACATAGAAGACAAGTCATCAGCAATATCTGCTATAGCCAGTTTTCTTTTTCTTTTTAAGAATATATATACTTTTTATTGGGGACCCCAAGTCCCCCTTTGGTTTAATGATTCACATAACCCCAGAAAGCTGATATTTTTGTGGTTATAGTTTCTAACAGTGAAAGAAACCAGATTAAAATAATCAGAAGCATAAAAGCACATAAAGTTGAGTCCAGGACAAATCAGATGTGAGCTTACAGGTGTCCTTTCATAGTGGGGACTTCACACTGACTAATTTTCTTTACAATGGTGTGAGACAACATGTGTGAACTTGTTGCCAACTAGAGAAGCTCAGTCAGTCTTGAGTCCAGGGTTTTTATTAGGATTCCACCACATATGCATCGAGCATCCTGTGACTGAACTTATCTACTTAGTTCCCAACCTCCCTATGCCCTAAGAGAGGTCATATTAATATGGCATTACACAAAGTCATAGGCATACAGAAACAGGTGATCACAAGAAATCACGTTGTTAGCATCAGCTATTTTATATGACCTACGTTTTCAGGTATACAAAGACTCTCATCAGGCAACATACACCAAGGGCTCATAGGTTATCATCTCCCAGGAGCTTGTCAAGGGCCAGTCCTGAAGACCTTTGGAATGCGCAAGGTTTTGGAAAGCCATGTCTGCAGAATTAACCATTCATTACAAAACCTCCAAGAATTTTTTTATCTTTAAAAATGTTCTTTGATCTTTGACAATGTAACAAGCAATACTGAGTAATTAGTAACAACAGTGTACTCTTGAGTACTTGCACCTGCAAGGAGAAAGAGGACAGATGCACTTACATAGGACAGATGCAAATAGACACCACTATGACAAGTAAAGCTGGAATAATCAATAAATTCCTAAAGACAAAGTGGGGCTGGTGAGATTGGGAGACCACTGACAGCTGCAGAAGTTGGGAAAGATCCATCATCTTGACAACTTTTTCCCCACAAACCCACTGCGATCTCTCAAGCAATTGGTAAGGATTCCCTTCGAATCCATTTGATGATTCCGTTCAATTACCATCGATTATTCTGTTCGATCCCATTCTATGATTCCCTTTGATTCCATTCGATGATCATTCCATTCGATTTCATTCAGTGATTCCATTGGATTCCATTCGATGTCGATTCCATTAGATTCAATTCAATGATGATTCCATTCGATTCCATTTGATTATGATTCCATTCGATTCAATTCGATGATGATTCCATTCAGTTCTATTTCATGATGATTCTATTTGGTTTCCTTCGATGATGATTCCATTAGATTCCATTTGATGATTCCTTTCGATTACATTTGTTGATGATTCCATTCGATTCCATTCGATGATGATTCCATTTGATTCCATTCAATGATGATTCCAATCTATTTCATTCGATAATGATTCTATTTGATTCCATTAGATGATGATTCCATTTGATTCCGTTCGATGATGATTCCATTCGAGTCCATTCGATGGTTCCATTCCATTCCATTCGATCATAATTCCATTCGAATCCATTCGATGGTCCCATTCCATTCCATTCGATGATAATTCCATTCGAGTCCATTTGATGGTTCCATTCAATTCCATTCGATGATAATTCCATTCATGTCCATTCAATGATTCCATTCGATTCCATTCGATGATGATTGCTTTCGAGTCCATTTGATGATAGCATTCAAGTCCATTCGATTATTCCATTCAATTCCATTGAAAGTTGATTCAATTCCAGTCCATTTGATAATTCCATTCGATTCCATTCTCTGATGATTCCTCTCGAGTGCATTCAATGATTCCATTCAATTCCAGTCGATGATGGTTCCATTCGATTCCATTCCCTGATGATTGCTTTCGATTCCATTCGATGATTCCCTTCGATTCCATTCAAAGTTGATTCCATTCAAGTCCATTCGATTATTCCATTCAATTCCATTCTCCGATGATTTCATTCGAGTCCATTTGATGATTCCATTCAATTCCAGTCGATTACGATTCCATTCGATTCCATTCAATATTTCCTTTCGAGTCCATTCGATGATGATTCCATTCGATTCCATTTGATGATTCCATTAGATTCCATTCGATGATTATTGCTTTTGTGTGCATTCGATGATTCCATTCGAGTCCATTCAATGATTCCATTTGATTCCATTCGATGATGACTGCATTCAGTTCCATTTGATGATGATTCAAACAGATTCCATTTGGTGACTCCATTCAATTTTATTCATTGATGATTCCATTTGATTCCATTCGATGATGATTCTGTTAGATTCAATTCGATGATGATTCTGTTCAATTCAATTTGATGATGATTCCATTCGATTCCATTCGATGATGATTCCATTAGATTCCATTTGATGATGATTCCATTCAATTCCATTCGATGATGATTCCATTTGATTTCATTCGATGATTCTATTTGATTCCATTCTATGATGATTCCCTTCTATTCCATTCGATGACTCCATTCGATGCCATTTGATGATGATTCTATTCGATTCCATTTGATGATGATTCTATTCGATTCCATTCAATGATTATTCCATTCGAGTCCATTCGATGATTCCATTCAATTCCATTCGATGATGATTCTATTCAATTACATTCGATGATTCCATTCTATTCCGTTCAATGATGATTCCATTTGAGTCAAATCAATGATTCCATTCGAGTCCATTTAGTGATTCCATTGGGTTCAATTCGATGATGATTACATTTTATTCCATTCAATAATTCCATTTGTTTCCATTCATTGATGATTCCATTCGACTCCTTTTAATGATGATTCCTTTCGATTTCATTCGTTGATGATTCCATTCGTTTCGATTCGATGATGATTCCATTCGATACCATTTCATGATGATTTCATTCGATTCCATTCAATCATGATTCAATTCCATTTCATTCAATGATTCTATTCGATTCCATTCAGTGATAATTCAATTCTATTGCATGCGAGGATTCCATTCGATTCCATTTCATGATGATTTCATTCGATTCCATTCAATCATGATTCAATTCCATTTCATTCGATGATTCTATTCGATTCCATTCGGTGATAATTCAATTCTATTGCATTCGAGGATTCCATTCGATTCCATTCGATGATACCATTCGATTCCATTCATTGATGATTCCATTCAAGTGCACTTGATGATACCATTCGATTCCATTCGATGATGATTCCATTCGTTTCCATTCAATGATTCCATTCGATTCCATTCAATGATGATTCCATTCGAGTCAGATCAATGATTCCATTGGAATCTATTTGATGATGATTCCATTCAGTGATTCCATTCAATTCTATTGTATAATGATTCCAATCGATTCCATTCGATGATGATTCCATTGGATTCCATTCTATGATTCCATTTGATTGCATTAGACAATGATGCCATTCGATTCCATTTGATGATTCCATTCGATTCTATTTGATGATGATTCCATTCGATTCCATTTGATGATGATTGCATTCGATTCCAATCAATGATTCCGATCGATTCCATTCGATGATTAGATTCTATTCCATTAGATGATTCCAGTAGATTCCATTCGATAATGATTCCATTCGAGTCCATTCGATGATTCCATTCGAGCCCATTGAATAATTCCATTTGAGGCCAATCGATGATTCCATCCGATTTCTCCATTTGATTTCAATCATTGATGATTGCATTAGTTTCCATTAGATGATGATTCCTTTCGATTCCATTCGATGATGATTTCATTTGATAACATTCCATGATGATTCCATTCGATTCCTTTCATTGATTCCATTCGATTCCATTTGATGATGATACCATTTGCGTCGATTCTATTATTCCTTTTGATTCCATTCGATGATTATTCCATTCAAATCCATTCAATGATTTCATTCAAGTCCATTTGATGATTCCTTTCAATTCCATTCGATGATGATTCCATTCGATGCTATTCGATGATTCCATTTGACTCCATTCAATGATTCCACTCGAGTCCATTCGATTATTTCATTAGATTCCATTTGATGATGATTCCATTTGATGCCATTCGACGAATCCATTTGATTCCATTCAATGATGGTTCCATTTGAGTTTATTTGATAATGACTGCATTCGATTCCATTTGATGATTCCATTTGATTCCATTCGATGACGACTCTGATCAATTCCATTCGATGATTCCATTTGGTTCCATTTGATGATTCCATTTGATTTCATTCAAAAATGATTCCATTCGAGTCCATTCGATGATTCCATTCGAGCCCATTCGATAATTCTATTTGAGTCCAATCCATGATTCCATTTGAGTCCATTCAATCATTCCATTTGAGTCCATTCGATGATGATTCCATTTGAGTGCATTCGATGATTCCATTCGAGTCCATTCAATAATTCCATTTGAGTCCATTCGATGATGCTTTTGATTCCGTTTGATGATATTCCATTCGAGTCCATTTGATGATTCCATTGGATTCTATTCGAAGATGATTCCATTTGTGTCCAGTCGGTGATTCCATTCGATTTCATTCGATGATGATTCCTTTCGAGTCCACTCGATGATTCCATTCGAGTCCATGCAATGATTAAATTCAAGTCCATTTGATGATTCCCTTCAATTCCACTTGATGTTTCCATTTGAGTAAATTCGATGATTCCATTTGATTCCATTCGATGATGATTCCATTTGATTCCATTTGATGATTCTATTTGAATCCATTTGATGATTGCTTTTTATTATACTTGATGAAGATTCCATTCGATTCCATTCGATGATGCTTCCGTTCGAATCCCTTTGATGATTCCATTAGATTTCATTTTCTGATGATTACATTCGAGTCCAATCGATGATTCCTCTCAATTCCATACGATGATGATTCCATTTGATTCCATTCGATGATTCCATTCTATTGCATTCAATAATGATTCTCTTAGAGTAAATTAGATGATTCTATTCGATTCCATTTGATGATTATTCTATTCATGCCCATTACATGATTCCACACGATTCTATTTGATGATGATTCTATTCGAGTCCATTCGATGATTCCATTCGATTCCATTTGATGATTCCATTTGATTCCATTGGATGATGATTGCTTCGATTCCGTTCGATGATTCCATTCGATTCCATTGGATGATGATTCCGTTCGATTTCATTTGATGACTCCATTCGATTCCATTGGATGATGATTCCCTTCGATTTCATTTGATGATTCCTTTTGATTCTATTCGAGGATTCCATTCGATTCCATTCGATGATGATTCCATTTGAGTCCATTCGATGATTCCATTCGATTCCATTCATTGGTGATTGCATCCAATTCCATTCATTGATTGCATTCCATTCCATTCACCAATGATTCCATTTGATTCCATTCCATGATTCCACTTGATTCCACTTGACGATGATTCCATTCGATTCCATTTGATTCCATTCGATGATGATTGCTTCGATTCCGTTCGATGATTCCATTCGATTCCATTGGATGATGATTCCGTTCAATTTCATTTGATGACTCCATTCGATTCCATTGGATGATGATTCTGTTCGATTTCATTTGATGATTCCTTTTGATTCTATTCGAGGATTCCATTCGATTCCATTCAATGATGATTCCATTTGAGTCCATTCGATGATTTCATTCGAGTTCATTCAATGATTCAATTCGAGTCCATTTGATGATTCCATTGGATTCCATTTGATGATGATTCCACTAGAGTCAGTTTGATGACTCCATTTGAGTCCATTCGATAATTCCATTTGAGTCCATTCAATGATTCCATTCGATTCCATTTGATGATTCCATTCGTGTCCATTTGATCATTACTTTCGTGTCCATTTGGTGATTCCATTGTATTACTTTTGATGATGTTCCCCTTCGATTCCATTTGACGATGATCCCATTCGATTCCTTTCGATGATGATTCCATTCGAGTCCATTCAGTGATTCCATTTGATTCCATTCAATGATGATTCCATTCATATCCTTTTGATGATTCCATTCTAGTCCCTTCATTGATTCCATCTGATTCCATTTTACGATGATTCCATTCGAGTCCATTTGATGATTGCATTCGATTTCATTGGTTGATTCTATTGGAGTCTATTCGATTATTCCATTCGAGTCTATTTGATGATTACATTTGATTCCATTCGATGATGATTCCATTCGTTTCCATTCGATGATTCGGTTCGATTCCATTAGATGATCCCCTGTGATTCCTTTCCATGATGATGCCATTCCATTCCATTCGATGATTCCATTCTATTGTATTCCATGATGATTCCTTTTGATTCCATTCGCTGATGATTCCATTCGATTCCATTCAGTGGAGGATTCCATTCAATTCCATTCGATGATGACTGCATTTGGTTCCATTCGATGATGATTCGAATGGATTCCATTTGATTTCTCCATTCGATTACATTCATTGATGATTCCATTCGCTCCCAATACATTATTATTCCATTAGATTCCATTCGATGATGATTCCATTCGATACCATTCGATGACGATTCCATTCGATCCCATTAAATGATTCCATTCGATTCCATTCGATGATTCCATTCGACTCCATTCGATGATTATTCCATTCGAGTTAATTCAATGACTCCATTCAAAACCATTCGATGATGATTTCATTCGAGTCCATTCATTGATTCCATTCCAGTCCATTTGATGATTCCTTTCAATTCCTTTTGATGATGATTACATTCTAGTCCATTCAATGATTCCATTTGATTCCATTCGTTGATGATTCCATTTGAGGGCATTCGATGATTCCATTTGATTTCATTTGATGACGATGCCATTTGATTGCATTTGATGATTCCATTCTATTCCATTTGATGATGATTCCATCATCATCCACCCATCTGCCACGGGTGGCAGAAAGCCGCGGCGGGCAAATGCCACGCCTGCGAGGGGGGCACAAATCCGCGGCGGCGGGTGGTAAAAAGCCGCGGCGGGCAACAAGCCGAGGCGGGGTGGGGGCAAAAAGTCGCAGCGGCGGGGGCTAAAAAGCCGCGGCGGCAGGGGGCAAAAAGCCGCCGCGGCGTGGGCAAAAAGCCGCAGCGCGTAAAAAGCCGAGGCGGGGTGGGGGCAAAAAGCCGCAGCGGGTAAAAGGCCACGGGGGCAGGGGGGAAAAAGCCACGGCGGGGAAAAGCCGCGGCGGCGGGGGGGCAAAAAGCGGCGGGGTGCGAAAAGCGGCGGGGTGCAAAAAGTGGCGAGGGGCAAAAAGCTGCGGTGGGCAAAAAGCCGAGGCAGGGTGGGGGAAAAAAGCCGCGGCGGCGGAGGGGCAAAAAGCCGAGGCGGCGAGTTGGGGCAGAAAGCCGCAGCGGGCAAAAAGCCTAGGCGGCGGTGGGGCAAAAAGCCGCGGCGGCGGGTGGGTGGCAGAAAGCCGCGGCGGGCAAAAATCCGAGGCGGGGTGGGGGCAAAAGCCGCCGCGGCGGTGGGGCAAAAAGCCGCGGCGGCAGGTGGGTGGCAGAAAGCCGCGGCGGGCAAAAAGCCGAGGCGGGGTGGGGGCAAAAAGCCGCGGCGGGTGAAAAGTTGCGGGGGCAGGGGGGAAAAAGCCACTTCGGGGAAAAAGCCGCGGCGGCGAGGGGGCAAAAAGCCGCGGGGTGCAAAAAACAGCGGGGTGCAAAAGGCGGCGGGGGGCAAAAAGCCGCAGCGGCGGGGGCGGCAAAAAGCCGCAGCGGGCAAAAAGGCGCGGCGACAAAATTCGCAGCGGCGAGGGGTCAAAAAGCCGCGGCGGGATAAAGCCCTGGCGCCGAGGGGGCACAAAGCCGCGGCGGGCAAAAAGCCTAGGCGGGGTGGGGGGATTAAGCCGCGGCGGCGGGGCGGGAAAAAGCCGCGGCGGGCAAAAACCCGAGGCGGGATTGGAGCAAAAAGTCGCGGCGGCGGGGTGGGCAGAAAGCCGCGGCGGGCAAAAAGCCGCGGCGGCGATGGGGGCACAAAGCCGCGGCGGGTAAAAAGCCGAGGCGTGGTGGGGGCAAAAAGCCGCTGCGGCGGTGGGGCAAAAAGCCACGGCGGCGGGGGCTAAAAAGCCGCTGCGGACAAAAAGCCGCGGCGGCGGCAGGGGGGTGGGGGCGGAAAGCCACAGCGGGCAAAAAGCCGCGGCGGCGAGGGGCACAAAGCCGTGGCGGGCAAAAACCCGAGGCGGGGTGGGGGCTAAAAGCCGCGGCGGCGGGGGTAAAAAACCGCCCCGGGCAAAAAGCCACTGTGGCAGGGGTGTAGAAAGCCGTGGCGGCGGTGGGGTGCAGAAAGCCGCGGCGGGCAAAAAGCCGCGGTGGCGAGGGGGGCACAAAGCTGCGGCGGGCAAAATGCCGAGGCGGGGTGGGGGCAAAAAGCCACGGCAGCGGTGGGGCAAAAAGCCACGGCGGCGGGGGGTAAAAAGCCGCGGCGGGCAAAAAGTCGCGGCGGCAGGGAACAAAAAGCCGCGGCGGCAGGGGCTAAAAAGCCGCGGCGGCGGGGGGCAAAAATCCGCGGTGGGCAAAAAGCCGAGGCAGGGTGGGGACAAAAAGCCGCGGCGGGTAAAAAGCCGTGGGGGCAGGGGGGAAAAAGCCACGGCGAGGAAAAAGCCGCGGCGGCAGGGACCAAAAAGCGGCGGGGTGCAAAAAGCGAAGGGGGGCAAAATGCCGCAGCGGCAAAATTCGCAGCGGCGAGGGGTCAAAAAGCCGCGGCGGGCTAAAAGCCCTGGCGCCGCGGGGGCACAAAGCCGCGGCGGGCAAAAAGCCGAGGCGGGGTTGGGGGAATAAGCCGCTGGGGCGGGCGGGAAAAAGCTGCGGCGGCGGGGGTGCAAAAAGCCGCGGCGGGCAAAAAGCCGAGGCGTGTTGGGAGCAAAAAGTCGCGGCGGCGGGGTCGGCAGAAAGCCGCGCCGGGCAAAAAGCCGCGGCGGGGTCGCGGCAAAAAGCCGAGGCGGGGTGGGGGCTAAAAGCCGCGGCGACGGTGGGGCAAAAAGCCACGGCGGCGGGGGACAAAAAGCTGTGGCGGCCAGGGCTAGAAAGCCGCGGCGCGCAAAAAGCCGCAGTGGCGGGGGGGCAAAAAGCCGCGGCGGTGGGGGGGGGCACAAAGCCGCATGGGGTAAAAAGCCGCGGGGGCAGGGTGGAAAAAGCCACGGCGGTGATAAAGCCGCGGCGGCGGGGGGGGCAAAAAGCGGCGGGGGGCAAAAAGCGGCAGGGGGCAAACAGCCGCGGCAGCGGGTGGGGGACAAAGCCGCGGCGGGCAAAAAGCCAGGGCGGCAAAATTCGCAGCGGCGAAGGGTCAAAAAGCCCTGGCGTTGTGGGGGCAAAAAGCCGCTGCGGACAAAAAGCCGAGGCGCGGTGGGGGAAAAAGCCGCGGCGGCAGGGGGGGCAAAAAGCCGCGGCGGCGGGGGGGCAAAAAGCCGTGGCGGCGGAGGGCGAAATAATGGAGATGGGGTGGAAGGCCGGCACAGCTTGGCATTGCTGGAGTGCGATGTGACAGGAAATGTGCAGCCAAAGACAAAAAAAGATGTAAGTAGGCTTGACTCATTGAAGCTAAGAACCCAGATGTTATCTTGAGGGTATTAACTAATAACCAGTTTAAATCAGAATGTCACATTCTGATTTGTTTCTTGTACGTTCACATTTGGCAGGCATAGATACTGTTTGAAGAGAGAAAAGTCAGTAGAGAGAGGTAACAAACTTAAATATGTACCAAGTCTAGAAACAAGAGACCAGGGGGATAGGGACCTTTCAAAATAAAATGCAAGATTTGAAAACTGATTGGCTGGGGGATGAGGAAAAGGCAGGTCTTTAAGGTCCATCCCTGTTTTGCTTTAAGTTGTTAGGGGGTGGTTTTATCACATGTTGTAGAATATGTCATTTCAGTTTTGAACATCTTGAGTTAAATTGTCCTAACATATCTTATGAATTTGATTTTATTCCCTGGGAAGCTAATATTTGAAACACTTAAAGAGGATATAGATTTCCAACTTGTATCCAGTTTATAAAACTATCTCTAGGCTGCTGATTTCAGGAGGAGGCTCATGAGTATTCTCTTTGCAGAGAATATATCAGGAGTTAACAACAGCTTCAATATTTGTGGATGACCAGTTAACTAAGCCACCTCTTAGTGTCTTTAGTTGGGAAATCTTAGCTGAAGATATTCAATAATGAACCAAGAGTGACTAAGAAATTCAATATTTAAGTATATTTCATTGTAATTAATTTGAATTGAAGTAGCCATATACAGCTAGTATTTACTATATTAAACAATGCAAATAAGAGGAAAAAATTAATAACCATCTCTAATACCACATGCCAAAATCCTCATCAATTTATTCTAGCTAAAGGAGTTGATCAGAAGCAGTAGTTGAAAGCACCAACTAAACCAGCTGGGGATAGTTCACTGTCATTCTCTCAGAACCATCTCTTCTCTGAACAAAACAAGTACAGGAGTTCATTGTGAATCTGCATTCTCCTTGCCTATTTTAAGGTTTTGATGTTGACGCAAATTTGTGAAATCCCTCCTGTGGTGTGATATTTCGTTTTCCTTGCTTTGTGTTAGGACAAGAATGCTTCAGCTCTTAATTTAAAATTATGTTTCTCCCTCCTAGGTTGAGTGAACTTAGAATGCATTCTCTGACATATCCAAGATTTTGTTAATATGAATTTCGGGAAAAAAGCATACTTAATTAGCTAAGACGTCTTCTTCTAAGCTTGACCCTATGTTCGACATCTTTTGAATTTCTAGTTGCATGGGCTGCTCTCTGACACTGGTTAGTGACCTGGAAGCTCTATTAATGTTAGGGGAGGTGGTGTATGAGCATTAGAGGTATCCTTGCAAGGAAAGACTTGTCTTATCTCAATACGTCTTTTTTTTGCACACAAGAAAGTCAATGTCTGAGTCTTCTAAAATCTTCCTATTTCCAAATTGCAGATTATGATTGATTCCTAAACAAAGACCTAATTTTTGACTCAGAGACGTGGCAAGGTAGTGAATCACCGTTATAATTTAGCAATCTTCAAGATAAAATTATCTCTGATATTTAGATTTTGCCCAATTATTAAGATATTTGGGTGTTTCGTTAAGAAAGGAAGACTCTAGTCTCTTGAGCAGACACTATAAAGGCCTCAGATGATCATTTTAAATTGTATGCCCTTTTCTTTAACACCTTCAACACAGTTGGAAGCAGCTGATATTCCCCAGAGTTGTTGTGTTTTTTAAACCAAATGCATGGTTCAGTGGTAGAAAACTGGGCTGATCCAAGCTGTTTTCAGTAAACACTTCATTTCAGGTGACCTATTTCATATTAAATAATCTCTAGATCCTGTCTTCGAAACTAACTAGATCAGATAACCTACCCTGGATTTTCTCCTTTTAGGGTCTGTGAGCTGCAGTCACTTTTGTGAAAATGATTGCAATGACAAGACAGAGTTGTAGATGGGGAAAATGTTTTGACTCATTTAAGCATAGTGGTATTTCATATGAGAATTTAAGTTACACACATTTGAAAATTATAATGGAGTCTCTTGGTTGAGCTTTAAACAAAAATAGCGTTTAGGGTAAAAAGGGAACTGCTACCTCTCCTAAAATCAGAAAGATGTTACAGTAATTCTCCATTCTCTAGAATTATCAAGAAGCACCTTTGTGATGATTTACTTTTGCTCTTGGGAGTGTGAGCCCGTGCAGTCGTGGAACCATCAATTAGAATGGTGGCTTTGTGATCCCAAAGTCATTCATTCTGAAAACAATATTTTTCATAAATTTGAAAGTGAGAAGTTTTGATCTTGCCATTCCCAAGTAACTGTCTTAATAAGAGGCATCAGCATGCTTCAGTGACAGCTGTCACCTTCCAGTGCTGAGAGTCATCTTTGAGTTCTCCATTTCACTCCCTACACTCCAATTTAGCTGCAGTTCTCTTGGCCAGTCCTATGAAATACATCCATGGCCTAACGACTTCTCACCACTACTACCACTCATGCTGACAGCATTCTCACCTAAGTCACTACCTTTTTTCGCTGGATTAGAGTAGCCTCCCAATTTATTTGCTCACATAACCTATTTATTCTACACAGTGCACCAGATACACCCCTTTGAAATGCAAACACAATCATGTTATTCTCTGGTGAAATTATCTCGTATATTCCTATCGCATTTAAAATTAATTCAGAATCATCCCATGATTATCAAAACCCTACATGCTCTTCCACAACATGGTTTACTTCCAAGATATCTCTTCAACTTTTTTTTCACTGTACTGAATTTGTGACTAATAGTCATTTTTCTTTGTTTTTGCTCAAAAAGTCTTGACTTGTAAATTTTTCAGTTTCTCCTTTATCCACAGGTAACTCTTTCCTCATAAGGCGAATTGCTTGCTTCCTTGAGTTCTGCTCTCAAAGGTACCCTTCATTTTCTACCTAATATTAATAACTTTAATCATTCATTATTCCATTACTATGCTCTATTATGTATACAATTTCTGTTCTTTGTCATGTTATTAACTAAATTATTTATTGGGTCCAGTAAAGTATTCCATAAATATTGTACACATAAAAATTGTGTTATTTTTATTCCTGTATGCTCAGCTGCCCAATAACAGTCTGAGGATTAACATATTTGTTAAATGCACAAATACATTCTTTCACAAATATTAGTTTAATTATTTTATATTAAACTCCCTCTATACTTACAATATGAATTAGATAATTCAGAATAAACATTCCATTGGAAAAAGCTACAGAATTTGTTATAAAACATCCTTAAAAGCATCAGAAAGTTAATACAGCAATGAAGAATTACAGTACCAAATTAAGAATGGTATGAAAGCCTGTTTGTGACGCTTATGTTTGGGTTATCCCTTTACTTGAGTGACTATAAATCTCAAAAGAGAACTAAAGGGAGAAATAACCGTATCTACTAACATGCTAAGGGTACTTAAACATCTCTTAGTAATTGAGAAAATTGAAAGAAAAGAAAAAAGAGAAAGGGAGAAAGAGAAACAGCGAAAGGGATAATGAAGGAGATAGAAGAGAAAGGAAGAGGAAGAAAAGTAAAAAGGAGGAGGAGGGGGAAGGAGGAAGGAAGAAAGGTGAAAAGAAAGAATGGTAAACTTTTTAACAACATAATTTATCCTTCCAGAATATGAATGTTGGTCTATTTGATGATTTCCCACAGATTCATTAGTCTCTGCTCATTGTTTATTTTTTATTCTTTCTGTTTCTCAGAGTCAGTATTTTCCATTTTCTTCTCTTCAAGTTCATGGCTTCTTCTGTGTGTGCAAATATACTCTTAAATCCCTCTGGTGATTTTTAAATTTTTATCACTGTAGTTTTCCACTCCAGAATTTCTGTTATCTCTTTGCTGATATTCCTACTTTTTAATATTTTTTCTGATTCCTTTATTTCTTTCTTTATGTTTTCCTTTTGACATTTGAGTATAACGAAGAGAGTTGTTTTAAAGTCTTTGTCTGGTAAGTTTGATGTCTGGGTTTCCTTAGGGATATTTTCTGTCAATTTATTTTGGTCCTTTGAATGAGCCACACTTTCCCATTCTTTGTATGCCTTGTAACGTTTTTTGAAAACTGGACATTCTAATAATTATAATTACCATGTGGTTACTCGGTAAATCAGACCCCCCCCCCTACAAACACAGTAACGTTTTGTGGTTTTAAATTTTCTTTACTTATTATATGGTTAAGGATTTTTTTTTTTAGTGAAATTTTCCAAAGTGATTTACAAAACTGTTTGGTTTATAAGGTGTGGTCACCGAAGTCTTTTTGTTTCCTTAACAAATGTTAAGCTAATGTTTTGACAGTGATGTTCTGGTATGTCAGGAACCAATCAAACAGGCAAATACAAGAAAAACAAAAAGAAAAACAAGTAATCATTGTCCAGCAAAATATGTCTCTAGGCCATGCAGACTGGCTTTGTGCTGGGTTCTTTAAAGCCGGCACAAAGTGTGTGTTCACTCTTGCACTGAGTGAAGTTCAATTTCACTCTTGCACAGAGCTTGCACTGAGGGGAGGGATCGGCCAAGGTAAAAGTGTAGGGTCTTCTTATGACATTTGTCAGCATGTGGCTTAACCTATGAATACATGTGACTTTGTAGACTCTCCCATGTACGTGAATGATTTTGTATATCTTAGTTTTTGAAATACTGTTCCCCAACTTTTCTTGCTGTGCTGAAGGTGATCTACTATATGCGTAAACTTTAATTTTTGGCCTAAGCATCTGTGGTTTGTTAGGTCTCCTTGCAGAGTTTCTTAATAATGTCCATTCCTTATCTGTTCTGTATTCTAGCAACACAGAAAAAAAAAAAGCCTTTCAGGAGTTCTTTAGGTATCCCCCAGACCAGTCAGAACAGACACATCATAATTTGCGGGTAAGATCTTCTCTTGTTCCTTTGGACCATGGACCAGGCTTCCTCACTGGGAACGTGGGCTTCTGACCCTTCAGAACTGCCAATTTGCTGGGGCAAAGGCAAGTTAAAAATGTCGTAAAGTTTTCCAGTTGTCTTTTTCTTGAGTCTGCTTTCACTTGGTTGTTGTAATCTTTTGACCATTTTCCAGAGTTTTGGCGAAGTTTATTCGGACAGTTTCTCTTAGTTGTGTGATGTTTCTGTGGGGAAATGAAAGATTGCAGCTGTCTCCACTGCCATTTTGCTGATGCTCCTCTTTTGTCAATTTTTGCTTCATGTTATTATGCTTTGTTATTAGTTCATGTATTAGTTTTCTAGGGCTGCCATAACCAAGTAACACAAACTGGGTGTCTTGGACAACATACATTTATAGTCTTATAGTCTTATACTCCTGGAAGCTAAAAGTCTGCGATTGAGGTGTCAGCAGGGATGGTCCCTTCAAGGGCTATGAGAGAAAGCCTGCTCTGTGCCTTGTTTCTCACTTCTGGTGGTTTAGTGGCAGTCTTTGGCATTCCTTGGCTAATCTCTGTCCTCAAAATCACATGGTACTCTCTCTGTGTGTATGTCTCCCCCTACTCAAATTTCTTCTTTTAACAAGGACATCAGTCATATTGAATTCAGGCTCATCTGATTGTATCTTAACTTGATCAGCTGCAAAGAACTTATTTCCTAATGAGGTCATATTCAGTGGTTAGAATTTCAGCATCTATATAGAGGAAACAATTTAGCTCCTATCCGTGCATGCATGATTGTAATAGCTATGTCTTCCTAAAGCGTGGACCCCCTTTTTACTACAATATAAATTTTTAAAATCCTATTCACATTTGTAATAGTCTATATTGTGTGTTATGAGTACAATGAGTTCAGTGTTCTTATGATTACTCTTTGCATGATATTTTTTGTCATCTTTTTACTTTCAATCCATTAGTATCCTTGCATCTCAGCGTATATTGGGATCACTTGTTTTAATCCAGTCTGACAATCTCTGCCTCTGGAATGGATTTTAATCTGCTCACATTTAAGATTATAATTGGTATAATTCTATTTATGTCTGCCATTTTACCGTTTGTTTTATATATTTCTCAAATAATTTTCTTTATTGCTTTATTTTGCAATGAAAGAATATTTTCTAAAATAGGGAACTTTAGATTACTAATGAATTATTTTATTATATATTTTTGATAATTTTTGTTGTTGTTGTAAGTTTACCATATAGGTATATGGAAAATTAATTATTCAAACCATCTTCCAATTTATACTAGTAAACTTTTAGTAATACATAGAAACATCATTCTTATATAAATCTCTTTTCTTTCCTCCATTTTAAAGTATTATCACTTTACACATTACATCTATTAAAGTTACAAAGCCAACAATACATTTTAGTAATTATTACTTTACCATCTAGAGTTATTACCTTATCACAATACATTTTTCTTCCAACTACCTCCTTTTTGATGTTACTGGAAAATATGTTATAGACGTATTCCATTTCTACATGTCAAATACTCAGCAATACATTCTGCACATATTATTATTATTATCATTGAGACGGAGTCTCCCTCTGTCACCCAGGCTGGAGTGCAGTGGCACAATCTCTGCTCACTGCAAGCTCCATCTCCCGGCTTCATGCCATTTTTCTGCTTCAGCCTCCCAAGTAGCTGGGACTACAGGCGCCCGCCATCACGCCCGGCTCATTTTTTGTATTTTTAGTACAAACGGGGATTCACTGTGTTAGCCAGGATGGTCTCGATCTCCTGGCCTCATAATACGCCTGCCTTGGCCTCCCAAAGTGCTGAGATTACAGGTGTGAGCCATCGTGCCTGGCCATTAGACACATGTTATTTAATAAACAATTTATGATAAAGAGAAAAAATGCATTTTTACTGCCTTTTATAATGTCAGTATTACCTATACCAGTGCTTTTTTTAAAATGTGGATTCAAGTGACTGTCTTCTGTAACTTGCTTTTAGCCTTAGGAATTTATTTTAGAGTATTTTTTTATATAGTAGGTCTGCCAGCAACAACTTCAGTTAATATTTCTGTTTATCTGGGTAAGTCTTTGTGTTATCTTCATTTTTGAAAAATAATTGCTGGATAATGAATTCATGGCTGAGAGTTTTTTTCCTTTGCATCTTTCGAATATATTATTCTACTGCCTCTTGCTTCCATTGTTTCTCTTAAGTCAGCTGTTAATCTTACAAAACATAGGTGCTCAAGAAATAAACATGTGCATGAATATTTACAGCAGTAATATTTATACAGTCAAAAAGTGGAAACAATCCATATACTTGTTGACTCATAAATGGACAACCAAGTTTCAGCTATAACAAAGAATGAAGTACTTATATGTGGTATAATATTGGTGAAATTTGAAAGAATTATGTTAAGTGCACAAAAGGACAAATATCACTTGATTTTATTCACATGAAACATCAGGAATTGGCAAATCAATTGGGATATAAATCAGATTAGTGGTCATTAGGGCTCAAGGAAGCAGATTAGGGTGTAACAACTTTATGCATAATGGGTTTTTGGAAGGGGCATGATGAAATGGCCTTGGAACATTGTGAATATGCTTAAAGCAAGTGCATTGTATGCTTTAAAATGGTGGTTATTAATTTTATATTATGTGGTTTTTACCTTAAAAAACAAAAAGAGAAAATAGCCTTACTCTATACATAATAAACTCAAGATATGTTACAAATTTATATGTGAAATCCAAAATACTATAATATTTAAGGAATAGCTAAGTAGAATAACACTGAAATTTAACATAATGAAACATTTCCTTAGAAAAGAGAAAAGCACAGTAATTAAAAAGGGAAATATATTTAATATTTTTTCTCTCCATTAAGCATGCCATTAACTGAGTAAAAAATCAAGCTGCAATTATGTAAACTACCTTTTCTAAAACCATAAAGAAAAGAAGAAATAAAAAGGTATTTGGGGAAAAAATCCAAAGGTACAGTCAACTACACAAAAAAATCTTAGTCTCATTAATCATTAGGAAAATGCAAATGGTAACTGAAAGAAGATAAAACTACAATTCAAAGAGAAAGCCTAAAATTTCAACCCCCAAAAAGTCTGGGTTTTGGAGATCTGGGATGGAATAGGGTTCAAAACCTGACAACAATGAAAGACCCAAACTAACTTCAAAGTCATGACTTTATTTTTATAGCAACGAGGTTGCCAAGATCTGAGTGAAAATGTGAGGGAAAACAAGCACCTGCAAGGAGAAAGAGGACGGATGCACTTACATAGGACAGATGCAAATAGGCACCACCATGACAAGTAAAGCTGGAATAATCAATAAATTCCTAAAGACAAAGTGGGGCTGGTGAGATTGGGAGACCACTGACAGCTGCAGAAGTTGGGAAAGATCCATCATCTTGAAAACTTTTTCCCCACAAACCCACTGCGATCTCTCAAGCAATTGGTAAGGAATCCAAGAGAGTCTGTATATGACACAGATCAGGGAGAGCAGAACACTTGGGAGGTGACCAGGTCTTGGGGGCCGAGCCCTTATGAATGGGATTAGTGCCTTTATAAAAGAAGCTCAATGGAGTTCTTGTGTGCCTTCCACTATGTGAGGACATAGAAAGCAGGCACCATCTATGAACCATGAAATGAGCTCTTATCAACACTGAATTTGTGAGCATCTTGACCTGAGATCGTACAGCCTCAAGAAGTGTGAAAAAAGAAATATCTGTTGTTTTTTAGTCACCCGGTTTATGTTATTTTGTTATAAGAGTCCAAATAGAGCAAGATATTCCACTTAATATGTAGGGGAAGGCAACAAAAACTGCCACACTTAGGATCCTCCTGATGCTGGGAGTATGAAAACAGGAAAAACAAAACAAAACTGCTCTTGAAGGTGAAGGAGGAATATCACTGAGCTCACCAACACAGCCAGGAAAAGAACAGAAGTGTGAGAAGGCTACATTCCTGAGACCCTGAGAAAAAGTACCTGCATAAGACTGAGATGAAATTACCTACTCTAGTTACGAATGAAATCCCAAAAAGAAAAGAGGGAAAAATAATGGAGCAAAAGAAATATTTTTCAAAATACCTGCCAAAAATATTCTAAAAGAAGTGACAGAGAATCAAACTTCAAATATAGGAAACTCAGAGAATGTCAAATAGAACAAAAAGAAATAAGAATTACATCTTGAAAGATCGTTAAAAAATCAAGTCTAAATTCTATATCTTGCTCCAAATATATAGAGATATAAAGAGGTTATCATCAAGATATGGAGAAAGCCATATCATGGAAACACTAAAATAAGGCTGTGGAAGGACTACATTGATATTAGACACAACAGAGTTTGGAACAAGAAATAGTATCAGAGATGAGAGATAATAGATAATACAATCATCAATTCTCAAGAAGATGTAAACATCCTACTAATTAGGGTATGCAGCTAACAACAGAACCTCCAAATACATGAGGTAAAACAGGAAAGAATTCAAAGGTGAACTAGAAAAAATCAAAATTATATTTGCAGACTTCAACACTTTTGTCTTAGTAATGGAAAGACTAGGCACAAACTCAGTAATCATGTGGAAGTTAAGAACAATATCACCAACAAGACATCCAATCTTCAATGGCAGATACTCTTTCCTTTCAAGTGAAAAAAAAACAGTATGGCATATTCTCTAACAAACCCAGAATTTATAACATTTGCGTTCTTCCTAACTTCTTTCCATCTTCCTTTCTCTTCTCTTTCCTTCCCTTGCCTTCTTCCTTCCTTTCTTCTTTTCCTCTTCCTTTTCTTTTCTTTTTTCTTTTCTTTCTTTTCTTTTTTTTTCTCCTTCCTTCCTTCTTTCATTCTTTGTTTCTTTCCTCTTATTCTTCCTTCCCTAATCCCTCCCTTCCTTTCTCCCTCCCTTTTCTTCCTTCTTTTCTCATATTCTTTCTTTCTTTCTCATGTTCTTGCTTTCTTTCCTTTTTTCTTCCATCCTCCCGCCCTCCATTCCTTCCTTCCTCCCTCCCTTCCTTTCCTCTTTTTCTTTCCTTCCTTCGCCTGTTTATTTTCTTTGTTTCTTTGCCTTCCTCCCTTTTACCATTCTCTCTTCCTCCTTTCCTTCCTCCCTTCCTTTCTTTCTTTCTTTCTCTCTTTCTTTCTCTTTCTTTCTTTCTTTTTCTTTCTTTCTTTCTATCTTTCTTTCTTTCTTTCCTTCCTTCTTTCTTTCTCGTGTTCATGTTTTCTGTTTTCTCCCTTCCTGCCTTTCTCCCTTCCTCCCATCCTCCCTTCCTTCCCTCATTTCCTCTTTCTTTTCTTCTTTCTTTATTTCCTTCCTTCCTTCTTTCCTTCCTTCTTTTTCTTTCTTTGTTTTCTTTTCTTTCTTTCTCTTTACTACAATTAATATTATTTTAAAAAAATTAAGAGAGGGAGACAGAAAAATATAGAACGCTTTAATCTGCAGGTAAACAGATTTTGTCTGCTGTAGGCTAAAGAATGGCCTCCCAAATATTTTCATGTCCTAATTCCCAGAGTCTAACATACAAATATGTTAGGTTGCACGGCAGTGTGAAATTAGATTTCAAGTGAAATTAAGATTGCGGAAAAATGATAGAGAGATTGTCTTAAATGGGTGGGATCAATGAAATCACAAACTTCCTTATAAGTGAAAGGAGAAGGCAGAAGAAAGGCAACCTTGGAGGTGATGGCATGAGAAATTACTCAACATCACTGACTTTTAAGATACAAGAATGAGGACCCAGCGTGGTGGCTCACGCCTAATCCCAGCACTTTGGGAGGCTGGGGTGGGTTTATCACAAGGTCAGGAGATCGAGACCATCCTGGCTAACATGGTGAAACCCCATCCCTACTAAAAATACAAAAAATTAACTGGGCGTGGTGGCAAGTGCCTGTAATCCAAGCTACTCAGGAAGCTGAGGCAGAAGAATCACTTGAACCCGGGAGGCAGAGGTTACAGTGAGCTGAGATCGTGCCACTGCACTCCAGCCTGGGTGACAGAAGGATACTCAATCTCAAAAAAAAAAAAAAAAGAAAAAGAAAAATAGGATCTAAGAATGAGGTCATGTTCCAAGGAATAAAGGTGGCCTCTGGATGCTGAAAAAAATCAAGTAATAGATTCTGCCAAATAGCCTTCAGAAAAACTGCAGCCCGGCCCAAAACTTGATGTTAGCCCTGTGAGTTTAATTTAAGGCTTCTGAACTAGAGAACTGTGGGATTAACGGTCACTTTATTGTAAGATATGAAGTTTATGGTAATTGGTTACAGCAGCAAGAGGAAGTTTATTTTGTAATTGTATCATGAAAATGAGAACCATAATTTACAACTGCTTTTAATACTGCACTTGGATGTTTGAAATCACGTACATGGAAATGATCTCTATGTGCATGAGGGAGGATAGCAAATTGATGCCAAAATAATGCAAATGCAAATCTTACATTCATTTCTATGTAGGTTTCATTTAATCTTTGAAATTAAAATGAAATTAAAAGATTGTGATCTTTTGATGAAAGTAGACTAAAATGAACAATAACAAAATAAGAACTTACTTATATTCTTCATATGGTCAATAAAGAAGTGATAGTGGAAAAAAACAAGATCAAATGAACGTGATGATGTAGGAAGTTGGAAAGATAGCTGAAACTACAAAATGGTATATAGCCAGTGAACACTTAGACACACTGATTGATGAACTTCAGCTTTTGGCTTGGTGAGAGCATAAAATGAGAGCAGCTGAGGTTTGCCAATTTGTAATCTCCTTGTGGAAAAACAGGGGAAAACACATCTCAGCCTAATAAGATTTATCTACTAAAGAGTCTAGACTTGATCCATTTGTCCTTGTAATTCAAAAGCTAATTCAAATACTGATTTGATGTGTTGTGTGAACAACCATTGCTGATTATCATCGCATACCTGGCATTCTCTTGTATGTGATATCTAAAATATTTGGTAATTCCTGGACTTTCTCTTTTCAAACCCAGGACGGTTTAATTTGAGTCTTAGAACAGTTGTCTTTGAGAAATTCTTCCCTCTACTGCACCTGTGAATGGGCATAGCATGGTTACATACATACTGTCACTCCATAGAACATTTGTTAAATTAAAGCCAAAGTTTAAAGCAAGAGCTTTAACTTACAGGTTTTACTAATGTTTTCCTCCCCAATAGCCACAACAATATTGATACCCTCACACCTTTTAACATAAAGCTTGGTGTTGTCTATTTTTCAGGTGCTGTCATCTATATGATTTCAGTATTTTAAAAATCAGCTTCCATCCCGTATGGTGGTTCATGCTTGTAATATCAGCAGTTGAAGAGGCTGAAATGAGAGGATTCCTTGAGCCCAGGAGTTCACAAGCAACCTGGGCAACATAGCAACACCCAGTCTCTATCAAAAGTTAAAAAAAAAAAGTGTTCCTATTTCTCCACATACTCTCCAGCACCTGTTGTTTCATGACTTTTTAATGATTGCCATTCTAACTGGTGTGAGATGTTATCTCATTGTGGTTTTGATTTGAATTTCTCTGATGGTCAGTGATGATGAGCATTTTTTCATGTGTTTTTTGGCTGCATAAATGTCTTCTTTTGAGAAGTGTCTGTTCATTTCCTTCGCCCAATTTTGATGAGGTTGTTTGTTCTTTTCTTGTACATTTGTTTGAGTTCATTGTATATTCTGGTATTAGCCCTTTGTCACATGAGTAGGTTGCGAAAATTTTCTCCCATTTTGTAGGTTGCCTTTTCACTCTGATGGTAGTTTCTTTTGCTGTGCAGAAGCTTTTTAGTTTAATTAGATCCCATTTGTCAATTTTGTCTTTTGTTGCCATTGCTTTTGGTGTTTTAGACCTGAAGTCCTTGCCCATGCCTATGTCCTGAATGGTAATGCCTATGTTTTCTCCTAGGGTTTTTATGGTTTTAGGTCTAACGTTTAAGTCTTTCATCCATCTTGAATTGATTTTTGTATAAGGTGTAAGGAAGGGATCCAGTTTCAGCTTTCTACATATGGCTAGCCAGTTTTCCCAGCAGCATTTATTAAATAGGGAATCATTTCCCCATTGCTTGTTTTTCTCACTGTTGATTGGACTGTAAACTAGTTCAACCATTGTGGAAGTCAGTGTGGCGATTCCTCAGGGATCTAGAACTGGAAATACCATTTGACCCAGCCATCCCATTACTGTGTATATACCCAAAGGACTATAAATCATGCTGCTATAAAGACACATGCACACGTATGTTTATTGTGGCATTATTCACAATAGCAAAGACTTGGAAACAACACAAATGTCCAACAATGATAGACTGGATTAAGAAAATGTGGCACATATACACCATGGAATACTATGCAGCCATAAAAAATGATGAGTTCTTGTCCTTTGTAGGGACATGGATGGATAGCATTGGGAGATATCCCTAATGCTAGATGACGAGTTAGTGGGTGCAGTGCACCAGCATGGCACATGTACACATATGTAACTAACCTGCACAATGTGCACATGTACCCTCAAACTTAAAGTATAATAATAAAAAAAAGTGGGCATGGTGATGTACACCTGTTGTCCTAGCTATTTGGGAGGCCAAGGGGGAAGGATTGCTTGAGCTTGGGAGGCTGAGGCTGCAGTGAGCAGTGATTGCACCACTGCACTCCAGCCTGGGCAAAAAAGCAAGACCCTATCTCAAAAAATATATATAATAAAAATAAAAATCAGCTCTCATTGATTTCTATGTAAATATGCCCAGGTGATGTCCATATAGACATAAATAATAATATTTCTGACAATGGGTCCATATGATCTTCAAAATGTAAAATGCCTATCTGTGTAATTGACTGGTTACTCTCATTAATGAATATAGATTCAATTCCACTTTCTTGTTCTAAATAGATTATATAATCTAGCTTTTCATTTCACTTATTTACTGATAACAACAGGAAGAATGACAAGATATCTATTTTGCAAAATTACTCTGGTAGGAGTAAAGATGAAATAATGACAGAATTGCACGGAAACCTAGAAAAAAGTATGGTCTTCTGATATTCTATCACATCACATGCTAAAGGCCTCATAAAGCTCAGATATTTTATCTAAAAATGTTATTTTCATCATAGGAATGATCAAAGCATGAGACCACAATTGCATTAAAATGTGCTTGTATCACAAGCACAGGTGCTAAAAAGGAGGGGAAAACATCCTTACTGATATTTTCAATGTATGCTTTACTTTTCTTCAACATGAAACTCAACTTGATATGATGCAGATTGAAGGAAATCACCCATAATTCCATAGGAAGAAGGCCTGTGATATTTTATGGGAAAATAAATAGAGAAAATGCTAACAGAAACCCTGTTAAGCATGAAGCTTTATGGAGCAAACAGAAATCCAGTGGTGAAACACACTCGAGTTCTGTTTGTTGTCTTGGAACAATACGGTTTAGAGGTGACTGGCGGGTGAGAAGAATGTATGCGAGTTCACCAAAGAGAAAAGCTGAATGAGGCAATGCCTCTTCCTGACCATATCTCTTACTCAGATAACTATACAATTTATTGTCCAGTAAAGGGTATATTAAAAATCATATTAAAAGTCATGCAGTGAAGTTGTCCAGGGAAATCAAGACTTAACAGTCTTACTCTGACAATAATGAACAGGGGGATTCCCTCAAGATAGACTAGGACATGACCCCACATTGGCAGGTAGTAGTACCAGAAAAGAACGCATGGAAAATCTTTACCTTATGCTTGAGGTAGGGACCAGGCTAAAGTGAAAGCCAGAACTAAAATTCTATCTAAAATAAATCCACAATCGAAGAAAATATGTGGTGTACAGGCATAGAATGTCTTTACTGTATCATTGAAATAGTAAGATAAATTCAACTTTTTACATTGTTTTCTTTTCCTCCAGTTAGGGCTTCATGTTTGTCTCTGGAGAGTGACCGACAATTGCAGCCCTGCCTTTCTGGGGTTCTGGTCAGGGGGTTGTGGATGCTTAACATGTGCCTTTCACAGGACACTTCCTTACCCCAGCAGTGGCCAGGTGTGCATCCCACGACCAGGCCTCCCTCTCACAGAACATCTGTTGAGACTAGGAGATGCCTGGTGACTGTTGCCTGACCTGTGTCCTGTGTATTGCTGACAAGAGCCACTCTCAGAGACCCTGGCCAGGAGGAGAGTTAGGTTCCAGTGTAGGTCAGCTCAGACACATGGAGGCCACACAACCAAACATGGGAAATCACAGAA
>NC_000001.11:125103233-125130246 GCF_000001405.40 Homo sapiens
GGACAGCTGGGAGGTAATTGAATCACGAGGGCAGGTCTTTCCCATGCTGTTCTTCTGATAGTGAATAAGTCTCACAAGATCTGATGGTTTTATAAAGGCGAGTTTCCTGCACAAGCTCTCTTGTCTTGTCTGCTGCCAGGTGAGATGTGCCTTTCGGCTTGTGCCATGATTGTGAGGCCTACCCAGCCATGTGGAACTGTGCATCTATTAAACCTCTTTCTTCTGGAAATTACCCAGTCTTGGGCATGTCTTTACCGGAGGGGTGAAAATGGACTAATACAGTAGCACACCTCATAGGGCTGAACAAATTGGGGAAGATGAGTGGGGAGCAGGAGAGAGAAAAGGGGTCTGTGGGACTCCAGCCTTTATTGGGCCCAGAACATTATCCAAATAAGTTTTCCACGCTGGCACTAGTCGGTGGGGTGAGTGCCAGCAGGCACATTTCTTGACTCCTGCTGCAATCAAGCAGGTCACTCTGGTGTGTGGAGGCTGTCCATGTGCACTGTGAGGTCTGTGGGGTGAGTCAGGTAGGTTGTATCCAACGGTTCCATAGCTGGTAGTCACCAGGAGGAGGCAACTGTATAGGGTCAATATCTGGGCCAGCCACACTGAGGAACTGTGAGGGTTAGAACTGGAAATTGTCAAGGGAATCCGAACCCAGCTACCATATGAGAGAGTTCAACTTATGTTCAATGTGAATGCCATGGCAATATTAAAAGGTAAGAATTCGCTCCATACGTGCTTGAGGTAAATAGGAGAAACCTAGAATTTATGTAAACAGTGAGAAGATTGGATGCGTTTTATGTCACACATTTTAATACTAGCAGCTTATTATATATGTCAATCCATCAGGCATTCAGAAATACATGCTTATGAAAATTTTTTGCACCATCAGACAAAAGACAAGGGTAGAAGATAACCTGCTCAAACTTTCTCACACAGAGAAATGTTTGTTAAGTAATTAAAGTGTAGATGATGATACAAAGAGCTTGATTAAATAAGATGCCAAAGTACCCTTGTGATTCAGAATACAAATGGTACTTAATGCCTTTGAAATCAATAATTGCTGAGTGACATTAATTAATGCCAATATTTCAGAAGTTGTTCTGGTTAGTGAAATGTGTACAACATGTAAAAATTTCCGAACTCTGAAGGGCAACATTATTCTATAATTAAGAATTAAGAATTAATTCACATTAATTATTGGGGAGAAATAATTTTAAGGATTAATGACTGAGAAAACATTTTTATTTTTTATTTAGAAAATTATTTTGTGCATGAGCATCACTGCCAGTTTTTCAAGAAACATAAATTTATAGAAACAATTATGTGCACAAGATGAATTTAATAACATCTTGATATTTTCCACTATTACAGTTGTATTTGGTAAATCTTTAAATTCCCATCATCTAAAGGTCATAAATGAATCTTGGAAATCTTGTAGGTAAGGGTAAATATAAGGATGCATCCAATTACATTTACACACACATACAATTACATTTACACAAACATACATGCCCACACGCTCACTGATACAGTTATGCATATATATACATGAATTTACCAATTGATTTTAACTAATATTTATAAGAGCCTGTAGGATTGATATATATTGTTGAACCTGAAAAATATTTATTATATACATGTTTAAAATACACAAAGAAATAAATAGTAATTGCACTAGGCATTTGAAACTGTACTAAAATATAAGCTGTGATCATTACAAATTCTTACACTGAATAAATATTTTTATTTTTGTAATAATATGTTTGATACATGTGTACATTTTTTTAAATGTATTATTTTTGTCATAGAGTCATGTCATGCATAATAATATTTCAGTCAGAGATGGATTATATATACAAAAGTGGTCCCATGATATTATAATACATATTTTTACATGCTTTTCTATGTTTAAGTATGTTTACATACATAAACTCTTACCACTCTGTTCTTATTGCCTGCAGTAATCAGTATAGTAATGTAGTACACAGGTTTGTAGCCTAGGAGAGGTTATACCGTATAACCTAAACGTGGTAGGCTGTACAAACTAGGTGTTTGTAATATTCTCTCTGACGTTTGCAAAATGATGAAATTGCCTATGGATGCATCTGTTAGAACGTATCCCTGTCATTCAGTGATGCGTGACTGTGCTAAAATGCTAAATCTAAGTTTCAATGACCTCCATAAAATTGTTGTACTGTGAAATACAAATCTCTCACCTACGGCCTGAATATGTTTGCAAACTAAGCATATCATGGGAAGGAGAATGTGCTGGCATCGCTGGGATGATTTTCTCACACTACATGAATAATATGTCCAGACTTTGCGAATATGAGCCACTTGTATAGAGTTAAAGTAAGCATCTCTTTGCTGGGAATTTTATCAAATGGGAGTATGAAGTGTTTTTAAAAGATACTTGTTTGTTTGTAGACGGTAGGCCTACAGTGGCTCATGGCAATGGTTGAGGTTGCTAAGATTTGGTGGAAGAAGGCAAAATGAAATGGCCACTTATATGGTATATGGATCACTTGTTTCTGTTGAGTTACAGATTCAGCTGGCTATTTCTCCCAATGTTAGTTATTTGGAGAAAAGAAACATGATAGTAATTTTGGGGTAACAAATACAATATTTGATGAAAGCAAATTTATTGAGGGTTAGACAAACTACAAGATAATTTAGGCTGCAAAGTCAACACGATACTTCTGGCCCAAATTGTGCAGAGTTTGGGTCCAGCTGCAAAGTTCAAAGGAAGAGGCCATATAAGATGATTCGCAATTTTGTCACCAACTGCCAGTTCAGGGGTTTCCCCAGAACACCCTCAATTTCAAGAATTTACTAAAAAGACTCACAGAACTCATTGAATGCCATTGTACTCATGGTTTATAATAGAGAAAGGGTAGAAATTAGGACCAATCAAAGGAAGAGACATATCACGTAAGGTGGAATCTAGGAGGATTTTGAATGTTAAGTTTCCGTTGTCTTCAGGACATATTACCTGTCATTGTTGTACAACAATAAACATGGAGTACTACCAACCTGGGGAGCTCACCTGATGCTAAAAAGACACTATTTAGAGAATGAAAAGACAAAGGAAAGGAGGAGATAAGATGACCTTCCACATTAAGGCACTGGAAAGAATAGAAAACTAAACCTAAAGCAAGCAGAAGGAAGAAAATAAAAATTAGAGAAATTAATAATTTATAATATTAATCATATTTGTTAGTGTTTACTAGTTGATATTAATTATTGACTGACTTTTTTTAAAAAGAGAAATATTCACTTCCCAATTTATTCTGTGGGGCCAGTGTTACCTTGATACAAATATTAGTCCAAATAGCATAGAAAAATAAAACTACTCTAAGTATAAATGCAAAATTCCTTAAAAAATACTAACAAATCAGATCTAGCAACATATAAAAGAATTACACACTATGACAAAGTGAAATTCATACTAGTAATCTCAGGTTGGTTTAACAGCCCAAAATCCATTACGGTAATACATCTTATCCATAGAATAAGAAACAAGAATTGCATGATCATGTCGATAGATTTGGAAAAGACATTTAACAAAATCCAAATGCTTTAATGATTAAAAATAAAAACTCAATGAACTAGGAATAGAGAAATTTCTACACCAGATATATGGCACCTGTGAAAAGCCAACAGCGAGCATGCAACTTAATGGTAAAGGATGCCTTCCCGCTATGGTCAGAGATAAGAACAGGATAAATACTTTGACCTCTTCTAGTCAACACTGCACTAAAGATTTTACGCAGGGAAAATCGGCAACTAAAAAAAAAGAGTCACCCATATTGAACAGGAAGAAATAAAACTGTATTGGAAAATAATATTCTTGTATATAGAAAATTTTAAGGAACCCATTGAACGATAGAACTAGTAAATTATTTCAGCAATATTACAGCATACAAGATAAATGTACAAAAATCAATTACACATATCTACAATGAAAACCCCAAAATGAAATTAAGAAAACACTTCAATTTAAAATAGCATCAAAAAAAGAAATAATAATTAATTTGGAAAATGTGATACAAGATTTTACTCTGAAAATTAAAAATTATTGTTTAAAGAATGTCTAAGTAATTAGCAAACATCTTCCACCCATGAATTGGAAGATTTAATATTGTAGTACTTTACAAGGTGAACTACAGATTTGACGTAATCCCTGCAAGTATCCCAACAGACTTCTGTCTAGAAACTGACAAGCTGATTCTAAAATACACACGGGATGGTAAGAGAATCAAAATAGCCAAAATAGTCTTGATAAAAGAAAACATACTAGGATAATTCACACCCCCGTGCTCCAAACCTTATGGCAAAGCATCGGTAATCAAGACAACACAATACTGATGAAGGAAAATTATATAGATTGATGGAAGAGAATTGAGAGTCCATATATAAAACTATGTATCTATAGTCAATGGATTCTTAAAGTGGTGCCATGTGCAATTCAATGAGGAAGAGACAGTCTTTGAACACACTGGGTCAACAATGTACACGTGGATCGCCACTTGCAAAATAGTAAATTGGAACCCTTACCCCAAAGCGTACAAAAATATTAACTCAAATGAATTAAAGACATACATGCAAGAGCTAGAATAAAGTATATGCGAAAATCTTCAGGGTTTTGGATCTAGCAAAGAAATGGCTGTAACACCAAAAACATGAGCAACAAAATAAAAATTAGATATTTAAAATTTCTTAAAATTTAAAGACATTGGTGTTTCAAAGGACAACCAAGCAAGTCAAAAGGCAGCTCAAAAATTGTGAGAAGATATTTGAGAAACACATATCTATATGTCTGCTTATATATGTATCTTGAATATAGAAAAATTGTTTTAACTCAGTAACAAAAATCCCAACTCAAAACTGATAAACGATAGAAATAGTTGTGTATCCCAAGAAGATACACGAACGGTCAATAATCCCATAAAAAGATACTCAACAGCATCACTCATCAGGCAACTACAAATCAAAACCACAGTTAGATAGTCTATGGATAGAACTGGCCACTTTGGAAAATAGGTTGATGGCTTCTAAATATATGAAACAGAATTGTCATATGACCCAGAAATTTATTCCCAGATATACCCCCAGAGTATTGGAAAGAGGTGTTCAAACACAAATTGTACACAAGTATTTTAACAGCAGTATTTAAATTAGCCAAAGGCTGAACACAACTCAAATGTCAACAAAATATTATTGGATAAACAAAATGTTATATCCATGAAATTGAGT
Source organism: Homo sapiens (assembly GCF_000001405.40). Taxonomy (NCBI): domain Eukaryota; kingdom Metazoa; phylum Chordata; class Mammalia; order Primates; family Hominidae; genus Homo; species Homo sapiens. The sequence goes on from NC_000001.11 coordinate 125,108,496, forward strand.
GTTATACAGTTATAAAAAGAAATAAAGTACCAATACGCATGTGAACCTTGATAGCATTATGCCAACTGAAAGAAGCCAGGCACAAAAGGCCACCTATTGTATGATTCTATTTAGATGAAAATAGAATAGGAAGATCTACAGAGACAAAAAACTGATTTGTTGTTGCTTAGGATTGAGTAGGGGATGAGTGCATAGGAGGTTAACAGCTAGAGAAGCTGGGGTTTCTTTTTGAAGTGATGAAAATGCTCTAAAATTCATTGTGATGATGGCTCCACTTATCTGTGTATATACTAAAAGCCATTGACTTGTAGACATTACTATGTGCACTCTACAGTATGTAAATTATATCTCAATAAATCCTTTCAAAAATACACAGAAGACTAAGGGGTTTTGGACTGTTGCAGCTGGAAAGCAGTTTGAAATACTGAATAGGTCTCAACGAGAATGTGAGGTTTCAGTAAAGACTTGAGGAAGTTGAATGAGCTCATCAATGGATATATGGAGGGCTATCTTTCCAAGCTAAGAAATTAACTAGAGTCTTGGTCATAAGGCAGCAGCATGTTGGCATGTCCAGAGGACAGTGAGGTGGCCAGGACCACTGGTAAGTTCAAGGGTGAAGACATAAAAGAATTTTGGCGGTTAACATGCGGCAGATCATGATGGGCTTGCAGACCATTGTAAGAATTGTGTATTTTAATGTAACTGAAATGGGGAGACAAATCACTATCCCATTATCCATATTTTAATAAATTGGATACATGAACCAAATCCAATGAGATTAAACCAATTAGTAATAATATGCAAATTTGTATTAAAATTACCAGAATTCCTTGCACATTTGAGAACAGGAGAGTCATGATTGTTTATCAGCAATAGTAAACTATTAATTTTAATTGTCATCAGCTAATTCAGATTAATTGCAATACATCATGCTTTATAATGTGACTTTCAAAAGGAAAATATGATTGTAATCTTATACTACATCTATCAATGTCTTTGATTTATAGGACTATAGACTAAGCCCCTAGTTTTCAAAGCCAACTGATGAGGCAGCTACATCTTATGCAAGTTTGCTGCTTTCTGCCACAGTAGTCGTTGGTTAGCTGGCACAAATTGTTTTACAACACCACTAGGTCTAAAAAAAGTTTGGATCACAATGAACACAGAATCACCTTCATCCCTTCAGAAATACCTATCAATTAGTTCCAATACAGAATGAAAAACTGACAACGGAAGTATGTTGATTGTAAAAATGTCAGATAGCTTGCATCTACATGAAAGAAAAATGCCATTTTTATTATAATAGATCATTGTTTTACATGAGTTTTGGTATAGCACAATGTTGAACCAGGGGCAGAGAGAGATGAATTAATGAAGTCTTAAGATATCAAGAATTTGAAAGAAAAGGCAGGTCACTTTGAAGGTTAGTGACGTAGCATTCATCTTCTGTTGTCACGTTTTCCGTCATTCCCTGTATGCCTGATGGACAGCTTTCACTGAAGTTCAGAGAGCAGCATGCAAAGATTAGCTACCAACTAATTTTTATGAAGTGAGCTTAATTTCTAGCCAGACTGAGCTTACGTTTTAGCAGGAAGCATTTTTGGGAAATGTTTATGTTAGAGTTGGCCCTTCTTGACAAGGTGAGACATAAATGTCTACTTTATAGACATGAATTAAGATGGGAAGATATTTGGGGGAAACATGTTCTCAAATGCTAAATAACAAAGGTACACAAAGTGGAAATTACACTAGATTTATTTCCCACTTGTTTTCTATGTCTCATGCAATTCACCTTGATTCCCTTCCGTTTCTGTTTAATGTAGAAAGTGGCATTTTCATTATTTTAAGCTTCTAGCACAATGAATTTCTTTTTTTCATAAACTGCATCATAAATGAAAGGGAGGAAGAGTGTTCAATATCATATTTATTGTTCAACAAAACACTGCTCCACTGCTTAAATTCAGTTTAAAAAAGAGAATTTATTGAACATCTAACACATACATAAAAGGCAGTAAAGACACATGAGACGAGGGCAGGATATTGAAGTATACAGACTTTATTTATTTATTTTTTTTTATTATTATACTCTAAGTTTTAGGGTACATGTGCACATTGTGCAGGTTAGTTACATATGTATACATGTGCCATGCTGTTGCGCTGCACCCACTAATGTGTCATCTAGCATTAGGTATATCTCCCAATGCTATCCCCTCCCCCCTCCCCCGACCCCACCACAGTCCCCAGAGTGTGATACTCCCCTTCCTGTGTCCATGTGATCTCATTGTTCAATTCCCACCTATGAGTGAGAATATGCGGTGTTTGGTTTTTTGTTCTTGCGATAGTTTACTGAGAATGATGGTTTCCAATTTCATCCATGTCCCTATAAAGGATATGAACTCATCATTTTTTATGGCTGCATAGTATTCCATGGTGTATATGTGCCATATTTTCTTAATCCAGTCTATCATTGTTGGACATTTGGGTTGGTTCCAAGTCTTTGCTATTGTGAATAGTGCCGCAATAAACATACGTGTGCATGTGTCTTTATAGCAGCATGATTTATACTCATTTGGGTATATACCCAGTAATGGGATGGCTGGGTCAAATGGTATTTCTAGTTCTAGATCCCTGAGGAATCGCCACACTGACTTCCACAATGGTTGAACTAGTTTACAGTCCCACCAACAGTGTAAAAGTGTTCTACACAGCAAAAGAAACTACCATCAGAGTGAACAGGCAACCTACAACATGGGAGAAAATTTTCGCAACCTACTCATCTGACAAAGGGCTAATATCCAGAATCTACAATGAACTCAAACAAATTTACAAGAAAAAAACAAACAACCCCATCAAAAAGTGGGCGAAGGACATGAACAGACACTTCTCAAAAGAAGACATTTATGCAGCCAAAAAACACGTGAAGAAATGCTCATCATCACTGGCCATCAGAGAAATGCAAATCAAAACCACTATGAGATATCATTTCACACCAGTTAGAATGGCAATCATTAAAAAGTCAGGAAACAACAGGTGCTGGAGAGAATGTGGAGAAATAGGAAGTATACAGACTTTAATGCTGAGTTTTGTATCTTAGTAAGTTACTGCACCTTACAGAGACTCAATTTCCCCTGATTTAGGAAGGCGATGCTAATGGGTATTGCATAGGTGTAAGTATAAAAATGTTGTATTTAAGAGAATCCCACAAGCTTGGTATAAGGCAGAAAATAAATAGATGTGACATTAATGAGTAGTTTATTACATTTGTATGCTACCTGCAGACTAGAGGAAGCAAGAAACACAGCCACTATACTTCATTAGCATTATATTCTAATTTGGAATATAAATAGAAAAGAGAAACATAGAAAGCTATGCATAAACACATGCATTAAAATGAATTTTATGGGGACTCTTTCAGGAAAATGTTCCTAAGGTATTTTATTTTTTTATTGTGGTAAAATACACATAACATAAAATGTACTCTGTTAACCATTTTAAGTGTACAGTTCAGTGGTACGAAACAGTCATAACATTGTGCAGCCATCCCTACCATCCATCTCCATAACTCGTTTCATCTTGTGAAACTGAAACTCTATACCCATTAAACAGTACTTCCCCATGTCTTCCTCCCCCCCATCTTCTGACAATCATCATTGTACTATCTCTGTGATTCTGTCCACTTTAAGTCTCTTATACAAATGGAATTATACGGTATTTGTCCTTCACTGACTAACTTATTTCACTTGGCATAATGTCCTCAAGTTTCATCCAAGTTGCAACATATGTCAGAATATTTCCCTCATGTTTAAGGCTGAATAATTTTCCATTGTATGTATATATCATGTTTTGCTTATCCATTCATCTGTGGTTGGACACTTCAATTGCTTCTACGTTTTAGCTATTGCTAATAATGCTGCTGCAAACATGGATGTGCAAATATTTTTTCAAGACTCTGCTTTCAATTCTTTTGCTATCTTCAGATGTGGGGCTGCCAAATCATAAGGCAATACCATTTGGATGTTTTGAGGAACTACCATACTCTTTTCCACAGCAAACATAGGGTTTGGCATTCCCTCCAATATTGCAAAAGGAATCGCCACATCCTTGCCTGTGGATTTTATTCACAAGTCCTGTGGCTCTCTTTACATCCTAGCCACCATATGTTATTTCCTGTTTATATATATGACATCAAAGGTGCAGGCAGTAATGAACTAAATTGGAAGGATAAACATGTAGAAAAATAGAGGTAAATACTGACTACATAAAACCATAAGAATAAGAATTTTGGATGATCTATCTATTATATATCTATTTATCTAACATCTATCTGTTCCTCCATCTGTAATTAAAATATATTACAATTAGAGAACAGAGAAAAAAGTAGGAATACATGAATTTAAATTTTAATTCTTACATTGTCTCACAGCATCATTATATGACAGAAAATGTATAGGTCAGTATCTGCTAACTATAAATGTAACATTTTTAAAGTATTCAAATACATTGAATTGCAGCATGAATAACATATTACAATCCATTCAAGTTTATTTTATTCGGGAACACAAAAATACAAATTTCATTTGCCATTCAAGAAAAACAGAAATCGATACATATGATTGATGTATATATACATTTAATGTATTTTTAAATATACATTTTTAAAAAATAAAATTTTTCTAGGACAACTACTTAAAATATCACTGGAAATAGTGTTATTAGATAATACCTTCCTAATAACTCTGGTATTACATAAGAAAACGAAATTAAAATTTCAGATAAGCTTAGAAACTAAAAATTTTAAAAATATTATTCTGTTCTCCATATGTTCATATTTAATATTATTTCTTGTTTTCATTCTTCTTCAGTGTTGCTCTACTAAAATATAACATACAATAGTTACTTTTGATTTCTGTTCTTATTACTCAAAATTGTATACATTTTCTCATGCTCTTAATTTAGCTATGCTACTTTTCTATACTCCTGGAATTTTCACATTTGTGTTCACTCTCTTTTGAGTACCCATAGTATCAAATAAGCTTTTTGCCCTCTTTCTGATTTGAAGGTTCATCTTCTCATAATTATTTTGTCCACTCAGTTTCTTTTCATTCTCACTTAAGTGCCTCTCATCTGGCTTCTTTTCGTTTCTAAGGTTTCCTTTCATCTTAAGCCAGTCTTTTATTTATATTTTGATTCTGTTTCTTGGAGGACATGCATCCTGGGATTTTAAGGAAGAGGCCAAAAGGTTTGTTCAAGTTTTTTCCTGATACATTGGATTAAATAACCTAATGTACACACCCTTAATTTAAGTCTAGGGGCGACTGTCTACTCTCGTTTTTGTATAGTATTATTTTTCTTAACATCCAAGTCCATCTTCATCTATTTGTATATGATCAATAAAAATATATTTGTCTAGAGCCCTGCTTTGGTGGAGTTACTTCTTTCTAAGTAGGAGAGGTAGCAGTTGAGACATGAGCTGGGTTCTGGGTCAGTTTAGAGGGCTGGGCGACATTCCTCCTTTTGGTCTGTATGACTGAATGAATGCGGTTCTTGCTGTCTCGCTCCTCTCCTTAACACATTGAGCCATTGCAGCAGATGAGAAGGAATAATCCTGATCTGCCATTCAGGTGGAACACTTGTTCTCTCCAACCACATCCATAGGTTGTACTCACACTCGGCCAGAATGTATCCTGTCAATGATATGGAGATGTATCTAGCTATCTAGATAGATATCTACTTTGGTTTATGCTCTCTGGTTGCCTGTAAATTATCTCCTTAAAGTGAATATCAAAAGAGAGCTTGGTGATGGCAGTGTTATAAAATCCTCAAAATGCAGCACCCACACCCAGAGGAATTTGTAGATTCTGGGATTCTAATTCAGATACCAAACTATATAAAAGGGGCATTGGTCATTGAGGGTTGCTAGGCTCTTTGTGGAGCATATTTGCTCTTTTCATGACTTTGAAATTATTTTAAAAATCTAACCTTTTTCTCGGTGTGCTGCAAGATGATTTGATTTTAATGCACAAGCACTAATTCTCCCCTAAGATTTGTACAATATATTTGCTCTGACAAGCCATAGCCAGAAACTCACTTCACAGCAATTTATAGCATTTCCACCACAATTTGAATTATTTTTAACTAGAATCTCTTTGCCTTAATAAAAATATGACGAAGCAATATACTTGTTCTAGTTAGGTTCAAAAGTTGGCAGTCTCTCTCCTGGAAAGAATAATAAAACTTTTCAGCGGCCTAATATGCATCTACAGACACACACACATGCAAGCACTATTCATAATATTTAAAACACATTCTGTTCTATGACTTCATTTGTCTAGCACAAAATAAAACGATCTCAGTATATGTCAAGTACCAATTGTTTCGTATGGCCAATTATAGGTATTTTATTTTTTAAAGAATAGAGTGTTCTTGAAGCTCTTTCTATTTCTTTGTCAATGAACTAAACATTGGCAAATATGTAGGGTTTCCCACATAAGAACATTATTAACATCAAAATAGAAAGCTGGTGGTAGAAATAATGATTGGGAACACGGAGTCTCTACTCAGAGTTCTACTTCTGCCATACCATAACTTTGTGATCTCACGAAATATCTCTCCATGTTCTCATCCCTATGTATAGTTCTGTCATTTTTCAATAAGAGCTTTTTGCTTAATTATGAAGTACTAGTTACTATAACCATTATTTTGAGCTTCATGTAAATCAAGAACACATGGACTCCACTTGCAAAACATTGAAAATGTAGTTAGGGATTGGGGGCACAAAGCAACATTTTAAAATGTGTAAAGACAATGAGTAAGCAACAAAGTGTCCAATTTTTTAAGCGATAGTTGCATACGTCAAGAAAAGGCAGGATTAAGTAACAGAGAATTTGAATGATAACTGGCCAATTGGTGTCGTTTACAATTGCAAGTCATACAAATGAAGTTTGCTTTTTTAAAGAGAAAAGGAGTTAGTTAGAATGGGTCAACCTATTGGGGAAGCAATGTAGTTAGAGACAATGCCCAAAACCATGTGAGCAAATGCTCTGTAGAGCGCACCCCTGCAATTCTGTCATTGTGAGGCCAAGTCTCTCCTTGTCTTGGTACTGAGCCCTCCATTCTGCCTCCATCATTGCCACTGTAGCTGCCACAAAATGATCCCTCAACCACCGCCGCCCAGGAACAAAGAAAGAATTCTGTCCTTCCACACTCTCAGATCAATTTCCAACATCAGGTGAGACTTTGATGGGCACTATTCAGTTCCCATATCCCTGAAATAGATGCGGTAAAAACATAGAAATTGCCTATGTGTTTCCCAATAAGACACATATGGAAGCCTGTTTTCCCACAACAGGAAGGGGTTTCCACGATGGGTGCTCAAAAGAACAATATTCCCTGTAAACCATACTTTGCCCATATGAAGAAGAGCAATAAGGATTATTTAGTAAATAGACATGGAAACTCATCCAGGGTTGGCTGATGAGAAGCTGGTTAGCAAGGGGGTCTGCCTTCAGTTAGGACAAGGTCTGTGCTTCCCACGGGTTCTCTCCACAGCAGGAGGGATGCAAACTTCCCTTTCCTCCCCTGCACCTATCCTCAAATGGCCCAGAGGTCTTCAGGTGCTAGAATTTCTCAATGAATGCTGCACAAAATAACAGACAGCCTTGACTGTCACTGTCTGTTCTCATGAAGCTAGTCTCTGCTTACTACATAAAACAGAAGAGTAAGAACAAGGGTGTGAAACACTACCCTAGCTCAAACAAGTGTCTCTCTGTAGGATGCCAAGATCCTGGGAACCAGTGCATCTGCTGCTTTCCCTTCTCGGATTCTAGCCCAGACACAAGAGGCAAGGGGCATTTCTTCAGAGGCCTTGAGCTTCACTACACAATGCCCCAGGCTCTACATGCACCCTCTTTATATATTTCTACCTTGAAATAAAATTTTATATAATAACATATATTTTTATATAAGGAACACATATGTTTATTTTATAGATAGATATACATAGATAAAGATCTCTAGTCTGCCTTTTTGAAGGCTGGGCTGATCGCGGTGCCCCAAAACTATAATCCCAGCACTTTGGGATGCCAAGGTGGCCAGATCTCTTGAGTCCAGGAGATGGAGATCAGCCAGGGCAACATGGTGAAACCCCATCTTTACAAAAATTAGCTAGTATGGTGTCATGCAATTGCAGTCCCTGCTACTCAGGAGACTGAGGTGGGAGAATCACTTGAGCACAGTATGTGAAGGCTTCAGTGAGCTTTGATCACATGACTGCACTCCATCTTGGGTGACAAAGTGAGACACTCTCTCAAAATAAAATAAAATAAAAAGGCTACCACCATACTCACAGATAAGTGTGTCAGGTATATTTGCAGCTATCTTTCCTATATTCTATTTGGTAAAAAAAAAATTGCAAAGAACTCTTCTCATTCTAGATTTTTGTATTAATTAGACATTTGAAGTTTATAGCAGAAGAGCTATAATCATGTTTGGTATGTGTGATCTATAGACCAGATAGTGAAAGCATATATCAATGCTTTTTAAAAGTATATAAGGTTATTAGAAATATTTTAAACTACCTATAGGTATATATGTATCTAATTCAACTATCAAATCAAGTAAGATCACTTCCTTAGCGTGTGAAATGCACTCAATTAAAATATTTTCTAATGTCTATTACAATAATATTTCTTAATTAGCTAACATAAGAGGAGTTTTAAGACATTTATTTATATGTACTTACTAGATTCAAACTCGATTCCACTATTTTGAGAAATCATGCTCCGGGACAAGTCCTTTTTTTATCTAACTCTGTTTCTACCTATATTAAAAGACAGATATGGCAATTTTGCTAATCATGCTGTTCCAAAACTCTCCATCCTATTTTTCGGTTTGTTCTACCAGTCATTCAGAGACTTACTTATATTCAAATTTCTCTCTAGGTTTAACATTTGTGTATGTCTTCTTGTGTTTTTGTCTATTTTTGCTGTATATAATTTAAGACATTTATTGACATATATCATACATGCAGAAAAGTACAATGATTAAATATGGATAGCTTCATTAATGAAACACATGTATTTGCTTATAACCATGTATGAAAATAGAACATTACTAAAAATAGAGATACTTCTCCTGCCCCTTTCCAAACACTAACCCTCATCCTCAATAGTATCAGATTTTTTTTATCATAGAGTAATTTGGTCTATTTTCAAATTTTTATTAAATAAATCAGAGTATCTACTCTAAGTCTATGTTTCTTTCATTGTTGTTATTTTGCTTATAGTATTTATCTGCTAATGGACATGGTAGATTAAAGAAGGCTACATACACATTTTTTAATTAATAGATTTTTTGAGCACTTTGTGGCTCATGCCTCTAATCCCACCACTTTGGGAGGCTGAGGTGCGTGGATCATGAGGTCAGGAGATCGAGACCATCCTGGCCAACGTGGTAAAACCCCTTCTCTACTAAAATACAAAAAATTAGCTGATAGATAACATCAAGATAACATGTGGGTTCTTAGCTACACTGAGTCAAGCCTACTTACATCTTTGTTTGTCTTCCTCTGCACTTTTCCTTCCACATCACACTCCAGGAATGCCAAGCTGTGCTGGCCTTCTACCCCATTTCCACTATTTTGCCCCCGCCGACGCGGCTTTTTGCCGTCGTGGATTTGTGACCCCACCGCTGCGGGTTTTTGCGGCTTTATGCCCCCGCCGCCGTTGCTTTCTGCCCCCGGCCTCGCGGAATTTAGCCCCTGCCGCCGCGGCTTTTGGGGCTCTTTGCCCTCGCCGCCGAGGCTTTTTGCCGCTGCAGCTTTTTGCCTCTTTCTCCCCCCGCCGCTGCGGCTTTTTGCCCCTGAAGCCACGGATTTTTGCCCTAGCTGACGCGGCTTTTTGCGGCTTTTTCCCCCTGCTGCCGCAGCTTTTTGCCCCCGCCACCGCAAATTTTTCCGCCGCGGCTTTTTGTCACCGCCGCCGCAGGTTTTTCCCGCCGTGGCTTCTTGCCTTGCCGCCCCGGCTTTTTACGGCTTTTTGCCGCCGCGGCTTTTGGCCCCCGCCACCGCGGCTTTTTACGCCTTTTCGCCCCCGCTGCCGCGGCTTTTTTCCCCCTCCGCCGCAGGTTTTTCCAGCCGCGGCTTCTTGCCCCCACTGCCCGGGCTTTTTGTGTCGTTTTGCCCCCGCCGCCGCGACTTTTTGCTGCTATTTTCCCCTGCCACCGCAGCTTTTTGCCCCCGCTGCCGCGGCTCCTTGCCCCGTACGCGGCTTCCTGCCCCGCCGCCACGGCTTTTTATCACCCCAGCCACTTTTTGCCCCCGCCGCCACGGGTTTTTGCTCCTGCCGCCGACGGTTTTTGCGCCTTCATGTCCCCGCCGTCGTGGCTTTTTGCCGCCCCTGCTTTTTGCCCCCTCTGTCGCGACTTTTTGCGGCTTTTTACCCACTCCGCTGCGGCTTCTTGAGGCTTTTTGCCCCCGACGCCGCGGCTTTTTGCCGCCGCCGCACCGTTTTGCCCCCGCCGCCGCATCTTTTTGCCGCCGCGGCTTCTTACCCCGCCACCGTGGTTTTTGTCCCCGCCGTCGCGGCTTTCTTACCCCGATGCTGTGGCTTTTTACGGCTTTTTGCCCCCGTCACCGCATCTTTTTGCCCCCGCCACCGCAGCTTTTTGTCGCCGTGGCTGTTTGCCTCGGCCGCCCTGGCTTGTTGCCCCCGCCGCTGTGGATTGTTGCCCCCGTCGCCCCGGCTTTTGGACCCCACCGTTGCGGCTTTTTGCGCCCGCCGCCGCGGCTTTTTGCGGCTTTTTGCCCCCGCCGCCGCGGCTTTTTGCCCCCGTCACCGCGGCTTTTTCCCCGCCGTCGCGGCTTTTTACTCCCGCCGCCACAGGTTTTTACCCCTGCGGCTTTTTCACCCCGCCGTCGCGTGTTTTTGCCCCCACCGCCGCGGGTCTGAGGGCGGGATCAGCAGACTCAGCTTCCAGATCTACCTGCGTCCTGGCTAAGGCAGCGCCGAGGGTCACTCCTGGTCCAGCTCTCCCGGTTCGGGGGTTCCTTGCCTAGACACCCGCGCCCCAGGCTCTGTTCCTGGGCAGCTGCAGCCAGCATAGAGCTGCACTGCGCTCGGCCCCGATGGGAGAGAAGAAGGAGAGCGGTGGAGGGGGTGACGCGGCTATCGCGGAGGGAGGCCCAGGGGCCGCAGCCAGCCGGGTGCTGCAGCAGTGAGGACAGCTTCAGAAGCTCATCGGCATCTCCCTTGGCAGCCTGCGGGGGCTGCGCACCAAGTGCGCTGTGTCCAAGGACCTCACCCAGCAGGAGATACAGACCGTGCAGGTAAGGGGATCGGGGACCAGGGCTGGGCTCCAGCACCGGGCTGGACATCTCCCTCTGGGCCCAAGTTAACTCCTGGCCGAGTTGCATCCTTGAGCCCGCGTCACCCCCTTGGAGGCTTCTCCTCCCTTCTGCACTGGCTGATGCGGCAGCCGGAGGACCCGAGACCAGCCCTCACCTTGGGCAGGATTTGTGGGGTGGGTGCGTGTTGGGAACTGTGATGGAGGCTCAAGGGGCCCGTGGGAGGGGTGGGCTGCGTGCGGACATCCCCTTACGCCCCGAATTTCCATCTGGTGCAGCCTTCTCATCTTGTAGGTGAGGAAACCGAAGGCCTGAGGGAGAAAGGACTTGCCAGGAACCCCTGTTAGGGAAAATTAACAAAGTGTGGTTATCAAAGGAGAACTGAGTTCAGATTCAGACCTGGAGTCCCACACCCTTGGTTGAGACATTATATCACCTTGAGTCTGGCCTGTTGACTGAGGGTGAGGCACTCCATCCTCGTCTGATTGTGGGGTCTTGACCTCAAGGGGTTTCCTGCAGGAAGAAGCAAATGGGTTTGCTTTCCTACCTCTGTCCAGTACTTTAGGGACCCTGAGAACTGGAGAGATTCTTGGAGAGCCATCTGGTGTATGTCATGGGTGGGCCTTGTTTGAAGGTCAGTCTGCCCAGTGGGCTGGCTCAGCCCGAATGAACTGTCTTGAATCTTTGGAGACGTCTGGGTAGTTTTAAGGGTTTCTCATCCTTGCACCAAAAGATCCCCTGGAAATTACGTGGGAAAACCTTAACTTTTGTGGAGCCTTGTATTTGTCTTAAAAGTTCATGCACATAGCCATGTGTGGTGGTTCACGCCTGTTGTCCTGTCCTGGATCCCTTGAGTCAAGGAGTTTGAGACCAACCTGGACAATATAATGAGACCCCATCTCTACAAAAAATAAAATATTAGCAAGGAGTGGTTGTGCACATCTGTAGTCCTAGCTACTACTGTGGCTGAGGCGGGAGGAGCACTTGAGCCTGCACTGAGCTGTGATCTCACCAGTGTATTCCAGCCTGGGCCACAGAGCAACACCTTGATTCAAAAAAAAAAAAAAACCAACAAGAAAAATTCTTGAAGATTTTGCATTCTGTCCCACTATCCATTGGTTTTCATGTCAAGATAATGTTAGAAATTCTTTACAGTTGCTTCCAGAAGGAGTAGCCTTTTGATCTAGTGCACAGGTGTCCAGTCTTTTGGCTTCTCAGGGCCACATTGGAAGAAGAATGCTCCTGGGCCACAGATAAAATACACTACTGCTCATGATAGCTGATGAGCTTAAAAAAAAAAGGTTTGTGCATAATTTTCATGATACCCACCACCACAGATAGGAGGAAAAGTCCTTGTAGTCAAAGGGTTGGACACGGCTGATCTAGTGTCTTGTCGTCCGTTTTGGCTTTCTCCCTGACTCCAGAATGCAGGTAGAGATGTAGAGACATGCTCTCAGGACAGCTGTTGAGATAAAAAAAATTCGTTTTCACTTATTCCTAAGGACAGCTGTTTGCCATTTGCATTGAAAAAGTCTCCATTCAAATTGCTGTCACATATAAAATCTATTGATATGTCTGTATTTTTCTGTTGTCTTGGCCTTTGTGGGCAGTAGTGTGTTTTAACCGAGCAAACTGTCCTTCCAAATAATGAAGCCGAAGTCAGCCTACCTGCTTGCAATTTTTCTTCCCCTTCCATTTTTCTAACCTCAGAATAATTGTAAGAATGAATTAAGATTTGTGTTTAAGGCCGGGCACAGTGTCTCAGGCCTGTAATATTAGCACTTTGGGAGGCGGAGATGGATGTATCGTTTGATCTCAGGAGTTGAAGACCAGCCTGGGCAACATACTGAGACTCCGTCTTGTATAATTTAATTAAAAATTTAAAAAATGAGAGAAAAGGACCTGTGTTTAAAATTTTGAAAAAGGAGGAAAGTTGTAATGCAAAATGTGGACTATGCTAGCTATGATTGGGAAAAATAATTTTTCATACAGCATTATCTGTTGACTTGTATTAGCAGAATACTGGTCATAAGCGTTTTGCTTTCCTCAAATATGAGGTAAGCTACTTTAAAGTGTGGTGGGGCTTTCTTCCGCATGGCTTCTGGAGGTGTTGTGCCCCAATTTAGCCAATTAATTTGGGTTTAGTTTTGATATGGATGAGGGAGACCGGCTTCATTCATGATGCACACACAGTTTTGCCAGTAAGGAAAAAAAAAGCCACCTGAATGTTCCTACTCATTATATGCTATCTGGAGAGCTCCTACCCCACCCCCACCAAGGCCCGGGCCATTAAAAAGACTCAATGCAGCCTTCCTGTATCTCATACTGTATTCTGCAAGATGCTCCTGTGAAAGAAAGTTGTGCTGCATCAGCCATCTCCCTCCTGAAGATCCCTGCGGATGAGGGTTGGTGTTTTAAAGTTTCTCAGAAGTCCTACAACAACAGTTCTCAAACTTGTTTGTCCAGGGGATCTTTTCTTCCACTAAACGTAGTTGGGGAGACACGGCCTTAAGCCTTGAGCAGAGAAAGAGACAAGAAACTGTTGGCTCACTTACAACCAAGAGTTGTGTTTATGTTTTAGGTTTTTATGAAACTGAGGTGCTGTTTGAGGTTCTAAATGAAATTGGGTGGTTGAAGAGAGGCTGGTATCCCTGTAGACTTAGCCAGCCATGAGAGGTTGAGTTTTGTTGAAGGAGGTGTTTTACAAAGGGAAATAGGGTGTTTTCTGGGCATCGCATTAGCACTTAAATACATGTATCACTGAAATGAAATGAAATGATGCAATGATGACATGAAATGAAATGATGAAATGATGAAATGAAATGACATGATAAAATGATGAAATGAAATGAAATGATGAGATGAAATGAAATGGTGAAATGATGAAATGAAATGCTGAAATGAAATGATGAAATGAAATGAGATGAAATGAAATGATGAAATGATGAAATGGAATGATGAAATAAAATGATGAAATGATGAAATGGTGCAATGAAATGAGGAAATTAAATGATGAAGTGAAATGGTGAAATGAAATGAAAGGACGAAATGATGAAATGAAGAAATGGTATGAAATGATGAAATGAAATGATGAAATGAAGTGAAATGTTGAAATAATGAAATGAGGGGTGGAGCCAAGATGGCCTAATAGGAACAGCTCCGGTCTACAACTCCCAGCATGAGCGACGCAGAAGACGGGTGATTTCTGCATTTCCATCTGAGGTACCGGGTTCATCTCACTAAGGGAGTGCCAAACAGTGGGTGCAGCCCACCGTATGGGAGCCGAAGCAGGGTGAGGCATTGCCTCACTCAGGAAGCACAAGGGGTCAGGAAGTTCCCTTTCCTAGTCAAAGAACGGGGTGACAGACGGCACCTGGAAAATCGGGTCACTCTCACCCTAATGCTGCACTTTTCCAACAGGCTTAGAAAACGGCACACCAGGAGATTGTGTCCTGCACCTGGCTCGGAGGGTCTTATGCCAATGGAGTCTTGCTGATTGCTAGCACGGCACTCTGAGATCAAACTGCAAGGCGGCAGCGAGGCTGGGGGAGTGGGGCCCGCCATTGCCCTGGCTTTCTTAGGTAAACAAAACAGCCAGGCAGCTGGAACTGGGTGGAACCCACAACAGCTCCAGGAGGCCTGCCTGCCTCTGTAGGCTCCACCTCTGGGGGCAGGGCATAGACACACAAAAAGTCAGCAGTAACTTCTGCAGACTTAAATGTCCCTGTCTGAACAGCTTTGAAGAGAGTACTGGTTCTCCCAGCATGCAACTGGAGATCTGAGACTGAGCAGCTGCCTCCTAAATTGGGTCACTGAACCCCGAGCAGCCTAACTGGGAGGCACCCCCCTGTAGGGACAGACTGACACCTCACTCGGCCGGGTAGTCGTCTGAGGCCAAACTTCCAGAGGAATGATCAGACAGCTGAATTTGTGGTTCACGAAAATCCGCTGTTCTGCCGCCACCGCTGCTGATACCCAGGCAAACAGGCTCTGACGTGGACCTCTAGTAAACTCCAACAGACCTGCAGCTCAGGGTCCTGTCTGTTAGAAGGAAAGCTAACAAACAGAAAGGACACCCATACCAAAAACCCATCTGTGAATCACCATCATCAAAGACCAAAAGTTGATAAAACCACAAAGATGGGGAGAAAACAGAGCAGAAAAACTGGAAACTCTAAAAAGCAGAGTGTCTCTCCTTCTCCAAAGGAATACAGTTCCTCACCAGCAATGGAAAAAAACTGCACAGAGAATAACTTTGACGATTTGAGAGAAGAAGGCTTCAGATGATCAAACTACTGCGAGCTACAGGAGGAAATTCAAACCAATAGCAAAGAAGTTAAAAACTTTGAAAAACAATTAGACGAATATATAACTGGAATAACCAATGCAGAGAAATGCTTAAAGGATCTGATGGAGCTGAAAGCCAAGTTTCGAGAACTACGTGAAGAAGGCAGAAGCCTCAGGAGCTGATGCAATCAACTGGAAGAAAGGGTGTCAGTGATGGAAGATGAAATGAATGAAACGAAGGGAGAAGGGAAGTTTAGAGAAAAAAGAATAAAAAGAAACGAACAGAGCCTCCAGGAATTATGGGACTCTGTGAAAAGACCAAACCTACGTCTGATTGGTGTACCTGAAAGTGACGGGGAGAATGGAACTAAGTTGGAAAACAATCTGCAAGATATTATCCAGGAGGACTTCCCCAATCTAGCAAGGCAGGCCAACATTCAGATTCAAGAAACACAGAGAACGCCACAAAGATAATCCTCCAGAAGAGAAACTCCAAGACACATAGTTGTCAAATTCACCAAAGTTGAAATGAAGGAAAAAATGTTAAGGGCAGCCAGAGAGAAAGGTCGGGTTACCCTCAAAGGGAAGCCCATCAGACTAACAGCTGATCTCTCGGCAGAAACTCTTCAAGCCACAAGAGAGTGGGGGCCAATATTCAACATTCTTAAAGAAAAGAATTTTCAACCCAGAATTTCATATCCAGCCAAACTAAGCTTCATAAGTGAAGGAGAAATAAAATCCTTTACAGACAAGCAAATGCGAGAGATTTGCTTGCCCTAAAAGAGCTCCTGAAGGAAGCACTAAACATGGAAAGGAACAACTGGTACCAGCCACTGGAAAAACATGCCAAATTGTAAAGACCATTGAGACTAGGAAGAAACTGCATCAACTAACGAGCAAAATAACCAGCTAACATCATAATGACAGGATCAAATTCACACATAACAATATTAACTTTAAATGTAAATGGGCTAAATGCTCCAATGAAAAGACACAGACTGGCAAATTGGAGAAGGAGACAAGGCCCATCAGTGTGCTGTATTCAGGAAACCCATCTCACGTGCAGAGACACACATAGACTCAAAATAAAGGGATGGAGGAAGGTCTACCAAGCAAATGGAAAACAAAAAAAGGCAGGGGTTGCAATCCTAGTCTGTGATAAAATAGACTTTAAACCAACAAAGATCAAAAGAGACAAAGAAGGCCATTACATCATGGTAAAGGGATCAATTCAACAAGAAGAGCTAACTATCCTAAATATATATGCACCCAATACAGGAGCACCAAGATTCATAAAGCAAGTCCTGAGTGACCTACAAAGAGACTTAGACTCCCCCACAATCATAATGGGAGATTTTAACATGCCACTGTCAACATTAGACAGATCAATGAGACAGAAAGTTAGCAAGGACACCCAGGAATTGAACTCAGCTCTGCACCAAGCACACCTAATAGAGATCTACGGAACTCTTCACCCCAAATCAACAGAATATACATTTTTTTCAGCACCACACCACACCCATTCCAAACTTGATCACATAGTTGGAAGTAAAGCTCTCCTCAGCAAATGTAAAAGAACAGAAATTATAACAAACTGTCTCTGAGACCACAGTGCAATCAAACTAGAACTCAGGATTAAGAAACTCACTGAAAACCGCTCAACTACATGGAAAATGAACAACTTGCTCCGGAATGACCACTGGGTACATAACAAAATGAAGGCAGAAATAAAGATGTTCTTTGAAACCAGCGAGAACAAAGAAAAAACATACCAGAATCTCTGGGACACAGTCAAAGCAGTGTGTAGAGGGAAATTTATAGCACTAAATGCCCACAAGAGAAAGCAGGAAAGATCCAAAATTGACACCCTAACATCACAATTAAAAGAACTTGAAAAGCAAGAGCAAACACATTCAAAAGCTAGCAGAAGGCAAGAAATAACTAAAATCAGAGCAGAACTGAAGGAAATAGAGACACAAAAAACCCTTCAAAAATTAATGAATCCAGCAGCTGGTCTTTTGAAAAGATCAACAAAATTGATAGACCACCAGCAAGACTAATAAAGAAGAAAAGAGAGAAGAATCAAATAGACGCAACAAAAAATGATAAAGGGGATATCACCACCTATCCCACAGAAATACAATCTACCATCACAGAAAACTAAAAACACCTCTATACAGATAAACTAGAAAATGTAGAAGAAATGGATAAATTCCTCGACACATACACTCTCCCAAGACTAAACCAGGAAGAAGTTGAATCTCTGAATAGACCAATAACAGGCTCTGAAATTGTGGCAATAATCAATAGCTTACCAACCAAAAAGAGTCCAGGACCAGATGGATTCACAGCAGAATTCTACCAGAGGAACAAGGAGGAACTGGTACCATTCCTTCTGAAACTATTCCAAACAACAGAAAAAGAGGGATTCCTCTCTAATTTTATGAGGCCAGCATCATCCTGATACCAAAGCCGGGCAGAGACACAACCAAAAAAGAGAATTTTAGGCCAATATCCTTCATGAACATTGATGCAAAAATCCTCAATAAAATACTGGCTAACCGAATCCAGCAGCACATCAAAAAGCTTATCCACCATGATCAAGTGGGCTTCATCCCTGGGATGCAAGGCTGGTTCAACATATGCAAATCAATAAACATAATCCAACATATAAACCTAACCAAGGACAAAAACCACATGATTATCTCAATAGATGAAGAAAAGGCCTTTGACAAAATTCAACAGCCCTTCATGCTAAAAATTCTCAATAAATTAGGTATTGATGGGACGTATCTCAAAATAATAAGAGCTATCTAGGACAAACCCACAGCCAATATCATACTGAATGGGCAAAAACTGGAAGCATTCCTTTTGAAAACTGGCACACGACAGGGATGTCCTCTCTCAATACTCCTATTCAACATAGTGTTGGAAGTTCTGGCCAGGGCAATCAGGCAGGAGAAGGAAACAAAGGGTATTCAATTAGGAAAAGAGGAAGTCAAATTGTCCCCGTTTGCAGATGACATGGTTGTATATTTAGAAAACCCCATTGTCTCAGCCCCAAATCTCCTTAAGCTGATAAGCAAATTCAGCAAAGTCTCAGGATACAAAATCAATGTAAAAAAATCACAAGCATTCTTGTACACCAATAACAGACAAACAGAGTGCCCAATCATGAGGGAAATCCCATTCACAATTGCTTCAAAGAGAATAAAATACCTAGGAACCCAGCTTACAAAGGACATGAAGGACATCTTCAAGGAGAACTGCAAACCACTGCTCAATGAAATAAAAGAGGATACAAACAAATGGAAGAACATTCCATGCTCTTGGGTTGGAAGAATCAATATCGTGAAAATGGCCATACTGCCCAAGGTAATTTATAGATTCAATGCCATCCCCATCAAGCTACCAATGACTTTCTTCACAGAATTGGAAAAAACGACTTTAAAGTACATATGGAACCAAAAAAGAGCCCGCATCACCAAGTCAATCCTAAGCCAAAAGAACAAAGCTGGAGGCATCACGCTACCTGACTTCAAACTATACTACAAGGCTACAGTAACCAAAACAGCATGGTACTGGTACCAAAACAAAGACATAGATCAATGGAACAGGACAGAGCCCTCAGAAATAATGCTGCATAGCTACAACTGTCTGATCTTTGTCAAACCTGACAAAAACAAGCAATGGGGAAAGGATTCCCTATTTAATAAATGGTGCTGGGAAAACTGGCTAGCCATATGTAGAAAGCTGAAACTGGATCCCTTCCTTACACCATATACAAAAATTAATTCAAGTTGGATCAAAGACTTACATGTTAGACCTAAAATCATAAAAACCCTAGAAGAAAACCTAGACAATACCATTCAGGACATAGGCCTGGGCAAGGACTTCATGTCTAAAACACCAAAAGCAATGGGAACAAAAGCCAAAATTGACAAAGGGGATCTAATTAAACTAAAGAGCTTCTGCACAGCAAAAGAAACTACCATCAGAGTGAACAGGCAACCTACAAAATGGGAGAAAATTTTTGCCACCTACTCAGCTGACAAAGGGCTAATAACCAGAATCTACAATGAACTCAAACAAATTTACCAGTAAAACACAAACAACCCCATCAAAAAGTGGGTGAAGGACACGAACAGACACTTCTCAAAAGAAGACATTTATGCAGCCAAAAAACACATGAAAAAATGCTCATCATCACTGGCCATCAGAGAAATGCAAATCAAAACCACCATGAGATACCATCTCACACCAGTTAGAAAGGCGATCATTAAAAATCAGGAAATGGCAGGTGCTGGAGAGGATGTGGAGAAATAGGAACACTTTTACACTGTTGGTTTGACGGTAAACTAGTTCAACCATTGTGGAAGTCAGTGTGGCGATTCCTCAAGTATCTAGAACTAGAAATACCATGTGACCCAGCCATTCCATTACTGGGTATATACACAAAGGACTATAAATCATACTGCAATAAAGACACATGCACACGTATGTTTATTGCGGCAGTATCACAATAGCAAAGACTTGGAACCATCCCAAATGTCCAACAACGATAGACTGGATTAAGAAAATGTGGCACATATACACCATGGAGTACTATGCAGCCACAAAAAATGATGAGTTCGTGTCCTATGTAGGGACATGGATGAAACTGGAAATCATCATTCTCAGTAAGCTCTCGCAATGACAAAAAACCAAACACCACATGTTATCATTCATATGTGGGTATTGAAAAATGAGAACACATGGACACAGGAAGGGGAACATCACACTTCGGGGACTGTTGTGGGGTGGGGTGAGTGGGGAGGGATAGCATTAGGAGATATACCTAATGCTAAATGACGAGTTAATGGGTGCAGCACACTAACATGGCACATAAACACTTATGTTATAAACCTGCACATGGTGCACATGTATCCTAAAACTTAAGGTAAAATAATAAAATAAAATAGAATAAAATAACAAAATATACACTAATACAGATTAACCAACTAAAAAAAATTGTAGAGAAAGGTCATTTAAAAAATATGAAGGATAGAGTAATAATCTAACACGTTGAAATCTAAGAAGGAGCAAACAGCTTGTCTGAACAGCATTTTAAGTGGCAATGTTAGAGGTTTTATCAAAATTGACCAATAATATTAAACGACAGGTTCAGGAGGCTTTTCAAAGCAAAGGAAAACACATACAGAGGACACACCTAGAAACATAATGGGACACTTTCTGAAAAGTAAAAGAAAAATGTAAAGAGCACTTGATAAAAAAATTGGGCTAACTACAAAGAGAAAGAGTTGACTGATAACAACTTTCTCAAACGAAACAACGAAAGCCAACAAGTGCGGTATTGATATCTTTCAAGTCCTGAAACAAAATAAGTGCTGACCTAGAACTGTCTACTTGGTGGACATATCCATCAAAAGCAAAGATACAATAAAGAATTTCTCCCAAGCAGACCCTCAGGAAAAGA
The DNA here is from genome assembly GCF_000001405.40 of Homo sapiens. Classification (NCBI taxonomy): domain Eukaryota; kingdom Metazoa; phylum Chordata; class Mammalia; order Primates; family Hominidae; genus Homo; species Homo sapiens. The sequence goes on from NC_000001.11 coordinate 125,129,600, forward strand.
AATACTAAAGATTATTCTTCAGGTAGAAGAGCCATGATCCCTGATGAAAGTTTGCAGTTAGAAGAACAATTTTTTAATGAAAGAAATAAACAGAGAGAGAAATTTAATTGGATATTGACTGTATAACAGACTGCTATCTCATAAAGTTTAAAATGTATCTTCCATACAACGGCAGAAGCATATAAGTTGTGAGTTGGATAAATTAATTTTAAAATATTGTCAAGTTTTTTATTTTTTTTTGCAAATAGACAGATGTACCAATTATATTAGACCCTAAATTCAAGAATGCACGTTGTATTAAAACAGGTAAAACATTACAAGGCCAGATTTTTTAAATGGACTCTCTTAAAGTTTTTATAATTTATATTCATATTTCACATATGTTGAAAGTAAATAATGGAAAAGCATGCAATGCAAATATTAACCAAAATATAACTTTAGTTGTACTTATATTCACATTTTAAAAGTTGGACACAGTTAAGTCTCAGAGATTTTTTTACACAACGAAGGCAACCTGTGCAGTTATAACTAGTGTTATATTATGCTCTTGGCCTGATTACAGAAGGGAAATGGGAGATCATACCAGACAATGGCAGAATGAAGCAACAAGGAGTAGAGTTACAGAACATGATGCTGTAACTGGGACT
>NC_000001.11:125131847-125171347 GCF_000001405.40 Homo sapiens
CTGAGTAAAGTAAACATTTGGCACTGAAAGAGGTTAGACGGATAACTATTTGTATCACCATATTCATGAAGCTGGAATATGTTCCATTATTCGTATGACATCCGAATGGAAGATGTTGAAAGGTCTCTCATCTTGTAAGATGGATATGAAAGAACATTTTCTGAGAAATGAAATTATTAACACACCTGCGAGGTGGATGGAAGAGAAAAAAAAAAGAATAATCAGCTTGAGTTATTCTCCTTGATAAGAGAACTCACTAAAAACATAAAGAGAAAAATACAAGTTTAAAATAATTAACCAAAAGAAGACGACTCTATAGATTTTAAATTGCTGATAAGATTTTAATTTGCTCCAAGTTGAAAATAATTATATTGCTTGTGTTTTAAGGCACATAATGAGCAATTATATCACACATGATAGTTTCAGCAGTAAAATATGATCCGTTAAGAAGTGGAACTCATAAAAGCATAGCACAATGTGAAGATGGAATTTGCTAAAATAAAACATCTGCTGAAAACTACTATTCTGCAAATTTAAAAATAAAGTTTAAATGTTATTTGTCTTATTTAATAGGTCAGTGAAAAAAATGCGATATTTGAAAAGTAGGTGCTACCTTAATTAGTTCTTTATGTTAGACGACTGGTTACAGTAATGCACAGTAAGGTGCTACATAGATATATTGCTAATTTTCTGCATATACTATGTATTTGGCTTAAATTATTTGAAATTTTATAGTTAAAGTAACAAATGTATACTTAAATGTTTTGACACAAATTGCAAATATACCTTTAAAAAGTGTCTTACACTCTAAATATTATTTGTCACCTATTTGTCTTTTCTCTATAGGAAAGTTTCAATTTTTCCTTGAAGCTTTAATTATTTGAGTCTATAAAATAAACTGATAATGTACAAATTAACAGGAAAAAAGGTTTACAGATATGTGCACAAGTATGCACTTGGAGTTTACATAATATATATAATATAGCTATACAAATATTTGTATATTATAAACAGATATAAAAATATACACTATATATATAAAAACTCCAGGAAAGGCAAGGTAGTCAACACGCCTGTGCTGTCTTGAGGTTACAGAAAACACAGAGCTGTAGGTTGGTAAATCAGGCTTTGCGGAAGACAGGTGACGACAAGGAAGAAAGAGGAGCCTGGCAGCAGAGGTGGTCTTGTTACATGGATGAAACCTCACAGGGAGCAGCCCTCCTCTTGGGAAGTATAGATAAGAAATGGTTTTTAGAAATGTAAACGTGCCAGACTCAGTTAATCTTTCCTAAACCCAGACAAGGGAGTATCTCAGGGAAAGCGTGTCTATATCAATGCAGATTTTCTCTACAAATACAAATCTCCCCAACAAACACAGCTTTTCAGCTATTTTTGTAGAAGAAGCTATATCCACTTTTCTGAGTAGCCATCTTGAAATATGTCAAAAAGCTGGCCAGGCGCACGCCTGTAATCCCAACACTTTGGGAGGCTGAAGTGGGTAGAGCACCTGAAGTCAGGAGTTGGAGACCAGCCTGACCAACATGGTGAAACCTCGTCTCTACGAAATACAAAAAAATTAGCCGAGTGTGGTGGTGCATGCCTGTAATCTCAGCTACTTGGGAGGCTGAGCTAGGAGAATTACTTGACCCTGGGAGGCTGAGGTTGCAGTGAGCCAAGATTGTGCCATTGCACTCTAGCCTGGGCAATAAAAGCAAAACTCCATCTCAAAAAAAAATGCATTTTTGGGTAATATTTTGAGTATCTTTACCTCCATATGTACAATAAATAATATTGTGATTTTTAATCTTTGCTCTTCTGTGGAAAAAAACACAGGTGTGATTTCTAGTGTAGCTGAACATCGTTTATTTGACAATATTGCAGTTGTGTGTGGGTGTGCGCCTGTGTAGCTACTCTTTAAATTTGTTCTCACATAATGATTAGATATTAACAATTAATTCAGTAAAATGCATATTTTGCAATATTTCTCCATGTTATTATGCTTTAAATTAGTTTAATCATGCCCCTATGATGTGTAAATTTTAATCTTTGACTATAGGTCTCAATCTTGCTTTGGATCCTGTATTTTAATTTATGCTAATAAAGTCCTACAGCTAAAAAAGATTATATAAACTTAGCTACATTTTTACTAGTATTCTGGTGTCATTTTAAATTATGTAATGAAATCAAATTTTAATTTGGATTATTGTTATCTGAGTTAAGGATCTAAAGTTTTAATTTTCTTATAAATATTACATAATTATTTCTGAACTATATATGGACTAATCTGCCCTTTATATGATGTGCATTATAAGAGCTTGGGATTGTTTCATTTACAAAGATGAATGCTTGAGAAATAGATATTTAATCATAACATTTCAAAATCTACTGGATAACCTGGAATTGAAAAATAGCCTATAGGTTGAAAAACTCCTGTAGTGAAGAAAGAAAATAACTAATATACAGTGACAGTATAAATATTGTTAGTATTTATTTTATTAACGCCCTGAAATTTGATAATACAAACATGTAATATCTACATATCATCCATATATCAGGTCATAAAAAATCAATACATTCTTCAAAAATTTAGCATAACAGAAAATGCACTCTCTCTCCTTGATGGAATTAAGTTACAAATAAAAGTAAAAATAAGTAGATAAGTAGATGGAAGTAGATGTTTAAAAACAAAGAAAAATATTTGTTTTGGATAACATAAACTCTCAATTGACAATTCCAATATTTCCAGAACTTTGCCTGTCAACCAGTGGAGAGTTTTCCCCAGGAGACATTTGTTAATGTCTAGGGTTATTGTGGGCATGTCAAGACTGGTGGAGGTGTGAAATTTAGAAGTCAAACGAAACCCCTAGCATTGCTAGGGCAGCCTCCCACAACAAAGAATCCTCTGGTCCTAAAGGTAAGTAGCACCAAGGTTGAGAAACCATAATCTAGACAGGAAACACTATGTAGCTATTCCAAGTACTCAGGAAAACACATCAGTGCCCTCGAGGGGAAAAGTGTAAACATTTTAATTGTTTTATAGGGTGACACAAATCCATGTTGTTAATCTAAGTGGAAGGGGCTGAAGCACAAAATGTAATTCAAAGAGTTTACTTGAGCCACAATGAGGACAGCTGCCTGGAAGAAACAGACCAAAGTATCCTTGGATATGAACTCCCTTTGGAGCTTTGCAACAAGCAGTTTCTTAAAGGCAAAAAAGGGTCCAGAAGTGGGATGATGCAAAGAGGTTTGTCACAAATTCCCATTGGCTTATGGAAATAACATTTATTAGTGACTGGCTATACACTGTTACACTATTATGGGGTGTGGATTATAGTGTCTGGTGTGGCGTTATTGGTTAATTTATAGCTACTGTGGCAACAGCAAGCAGCCTAGATGAACATACAGCTCAAAGAGGAGAAGGACAGAACTGCTGTCTCATTTGAATATCTCTCTGGGCCTGATTATTTAAAGGGACTTGCATTTCTCACATGAAAGTTGTTTTCTTTTCTCAATGTCCATAAATGAGAATAAATAGACGTAAAAGAGATCTTTTCGAGGATGAAGTAAATGGAATGAAAAACAAAACCCAAGCTGACCAGAAATCATAGAGGGAAGAAAAGATTATAAATATATGGATTTTTCAAAGTGATTTTAAGCTATTAGGAATAAGTTAAATGCTGGGAGATTTTGTCTCAGAATGGGCTAAAGAAGAATGTCCCTTTTGCCTAATGAAGTTTCCCTGAAAATCACTAATAGGAGGCAGATAAATAGTATAAAAAGCATACAGGTTTCTGCAATGTGTGTACAGTGGAGCCCTTAGAACGAAGACCCAGACACACGATGCATGCAGAAGCTTATCTACCACATGAAGTGTACAAAAAGAATGGGGTCTTGGATCACAGGGAAAAAAAAAGAAAGGTTATGTGAGAAAACGACCCTGGCTAGCAACAGTGGATTTATTACCTAGGTGGAACTTCACTGGGAGCAGTCCTCAGAGAGAATAGACAGAAAAAGTTTCTTTCAGACCTTTGGAGACCTCAGACTCTCAGTTAAACTTTCCTAGATCCAGACAAGGGGGCAGACCTCAGAGAAAGCCTGGCTGCATCAAGGCATATTCTCTACCGATGCAAATCTCCCCAAGACAGCTTTGCAGCTAACTTTGCATTTCCAGCCCTTCTCAATAGCCATTTTGAAATATATCAAGGAAATATATTTAGGGGTAAAATATATTAGTTTCCCTCATACAGCTATAAAACATACAGGAATAATTTTTGTCAATGTCTACTACAAATTCAATATAACAGTAATTATAAAATCCACCAGATATTGAAGAAAAAATATGTAGAGTTCCTCAATTACAAATGTTGATACTAAAATGTCAAATGAAATAAAAACAATATCCAACAATATTTGAAACAGTAAGACAAGAAACTGGCAAAAAAAAAAAAGAAAACAAATATGCACCTTGGGGATGAAAGTGTGTTTCCAAATTTGGTAATCCAATAATATTAATAATCATATTGATTAGCCCAAATTAAAAATAAATAGGGGATACTCAGTACATGCTAATGTATATTTGTTAAAGGCAATATTCATGTCTTTAAATATTTTAAATGCTATAAAGAGTCTGATATTCTATATGCAAACATGTGTATGTCCATTAGAAGAAGAGAGGCCTGATTTTCATATGTCACTACAAAGAGATAGAGAAGTGGATAGATTAATTTGCATATGCATAGAGAAAGCATAACATAGAAATTTACTATCATATTAAAGGAATTTTAATTCAACAATAAAATAATTCAAAGGTAAAATTTTAAATATTTTTAACAGGTACATTATTATTAGATAATATTTATACTAATTGTGAAAATATTCAATGCTAAAATAAGATACAATGTCTAAACATCAGTATTAAAACTAGTATAACATTTGCTTGTTTATACAAGGAAAATTCAAGCTCGACCTAAAATTATATGGGAAATAAAAGAAAAATTTTAAGGGAGCTCTTTAATGACATAATCATATGTATATATACATACACACATATAACATGAATATATGTTATATGGGATAGATATAGATTTAACATGTTATATCTATATTTGTATCTATAACTACAGCTGTATGTATCTACATTTCTATATAATTACTCAGTGATATAAATATAGACTGGAATAAATATAAAGACACATATTATTCTTTGGTAAAAAAGATTTAGTATCATAAAGACAAATTCTTTCCAAATTCACTTATGAATTCACAACAATATACAGTTTCAGTAGTATAATTTAAAATTTTTAAATAAATTCCAAGATTCATTTAAAGGAATATACATGTATACAAGCAGTCAAGAAAGAAGCAAGAGTGCACTAAATTAACTTGCTATTAAAATACCTTTTTAAACTTAGTCACTAAAACTGAGCAGTACTGATTTGGAGTACTGGAATTTAGGTATATAGGATCTCAAAAGCACAGAGCTCAAAGGAGACCCCTGTATGCACGAGAGCTTAAGATGTGCTTTGGAAGGCATTACGAAACCACGGGCAAAGTTCCTTTAGTGTCTTAGTCTTACCAGGTTTGAAAAGCCAGAGAAAAGACTCAAGAACACCATATAAGAGCAAAACAAAAGGACAGGGAAACAACGTGAAGATACTGAAACATTTTACATAAAGTTGTATAAAACATTCTTTAAAGAGAATATAAAGTTTAGGATATACATCAAAATCAGCAGAGCCACTAAATAAATAAATAGGCATTGTAAAGTAAGAGAAAATTTAAATGGATTTCTAAAAAATATTGACACCTATGATTTTTAAAATATGTTTAAGAAATCCCGTAATTCACAGGGCAGCCTTTCACAACACAGATATATTAGGACATAAAGGTCCTTCTGTTTTTAATTTACTAGTGTTTATAGGGTTACAAATGTCTTCTACCCTTGTCTTTTGTCTGATGGTGCAAAAAATTTTCATAAGCATGTATTTCTGAATGCCTGATGGATTGACATATATAATAAGCTGCTAGTATTAAAATATGTGACATAAAACGCATCCAATCTTCTCACTGTTTACATAAATTCTAGGTTTCTCCTATTTACCTCAAGCACGTATGGAGCGAATTCTTACCTTTTAATATTGCCATGGCATTCACATTGAACATAAGTTGAACTCTCTCATATGGTAGCTGGGTTTGGATTCCCTTGACAATTTCCAGTTCTAACCCTCACAGTTCCTCAGTGTGGCTGGCCCAGATATTGACCCTACACTGTTGCCTCCTCCTGGTGACTACCAGCTATGGAACCGTTGGATACAACCTACCTGACTCACCCCACAGACCTCACAGTGCACATGGACAGCCTCCACACACCAGAGTGACCTGCTTGATTGCAGCAGGAGTCAAGAAATGTGCCTGCTGGCACTCACCCCACCGACTAGTGCCAGCGTGGAAAACTTATTTGGATAATGTTCTGGGCCCAATAAAGGCTGGAGTCCCACAGACCCCTTTTCTCTCTCCTGCTCCCCACTCATCTTCCCCAATTTGTTCAGCCCTATGACGTGTGCTACTGTATTAGTCCATTTTCACCCCTCCGGTAAAGACATGCCCAAGACTGGGTAATTTCCAGAAGAAAGAGATTTAATAGATGCACAGTTCCACATGGCTGGGTAGGCCTCACAATCATGGCACAAGCCGAAAGGCACGTCTCACCTGGCAGCAGACAAGACAAGAGAGCTTGTGCAAGAAACTCGCCTTTATAAAACCATCAGATCTTGTGAGACTTATTCACTATCAGAAGAACAGCATGGGAAAGACCTGCCCTCGTGATTCAATTACCTCCCAGCTGTTCCCTCCCACAACATGTGGGAATTCAAGATGAGATTTGGCTGGGGACACAGCTAAACCCTCTTCTCAGCTACCCTCTTCTCTCTGGATCTGTGAGTAATAAACCTACTTCTGTGATTTCCCATGTTTGGTTGTGTGGCCTCCATGTGTCTGAGCTGACCTACACTGGAACCTAACTCTCCTCCTGGCCAGGGTCTCTGAGAGTGGCTCTTGTCAGCAATACACAGGACACAGGTCAGGCAACAGTCACCAGGCATCTCCTAGTCTCAACAGATGTTCTGTGAGAGGGAGGCCTGGTCGTGGGATGCACACCTGGCCACTGCTGGGGTAAGGAAGTGTCCTGTGAAAGGCACATGTTAAGCATCCACAACCCCCTGACCAGAACCCCAGAAAGGCAGGGCTGCAATTGTCGGTCACTCTCCAGAGACAAACATGAAGCCCTAACTGGAGGAAAAGAAAACAATGTAAAAAGTTGAATTTATCTTACTATTTCAATGATACAGTAAAGACATTCTATGCCTGTACACCACATATTTTCTTCGATTGTGGATTTATTTTAGATAGAATTTTAGTTCTGGCTTTCACTTTAGCCTGGTCCCTACCTCAAGCATAAGGTAAAGATTTTCCATGCGTTCTTTTCTGGTACTACTACCTGCCAGTGTGGGGTCATGTCCTAGTCTATCTTTTGGGAATCCCCCTGTTCATTATTGTCAGAGTGAGACTGTTAAGTCTTGATTTCCCTGGACAACTTCACTGTATGACTTTTAATATGATTTTTTAATATACCCTTTACTGGACAATAAATTCTATAGTTATCTGAGTAAGAGATATGGTCAGGAAGAGGCATTGCCTCATTCAGCTTTTCTCTTAGGTGAACTCGCATATGTTCTCCTCACCCTCCAGTCACCTCTAAACCGTATTGTTCCAAGACAACAAACAGAACTCGAGTGTGTTTCACCACTGGATTTCTGTTTGCTCCATAAAGCTTCATGCTTAACAGGGTTTCTGTTAGCATTTTCTCTATTTATTTTCCCATAAAATATCACAGGCCTTCTTCCTATGGAATTATGGGTGATTTCCTTCAATCTGCATCATATCAAGTTGAGGTTCATGTTGATGAAAAGTAAAACATACGTTGAAAATATCAGTAAGGATGTTTTCCCCTCCTTTTCAGCACCTGTGCTTGTGATACAAGCACATTTTAATACAATTGTTGTCTCATGCTTTGATCATTCCTATGATGAAAATAATATTTTTAGATAAAATATCTGAGTTTTATGAGGCCTTTAATATGTGATGTGATAGAATATCAGAAGACCATACTTTTTTCTAGTTTTCCGTGCAATTGTATCATTGTTTCATCTTTACTCCTACCAGAGTAATTTTCCAAAATAGATATCTTGTCATTCTTCCTGTTGTTATCAGTAAATATGTGAAATGAAAGCTAGATTATATAATTTATCTAGAACAAGAAAGTAGAATTGAATCTGTATTCATTAATGAGACTAACCATTCAATTACGCAGACAGGCATTTTACATTTTGAAGATCATATGGACCCATTGTCAGAAAAATTATTATTTATGTCTACATGGACATCACCTGTGCATATTTACATAGAAATAAATCATAGTTGATTTTTATTTTTATTATGTATATTTTTTGAGATAGGGTCTTGCTTTGTTGTCCAGGCTGGAATGCAGTGGTGCAATCACTGCTCACTGCAGCCTCAGCCTCCCAAGCTCAAGCAATCCATCCACCTTGGGCTCCCAAATAGCTAGGACAACAGGTGCACATCGCCATGCCCACTTTTTTTTTTTAACTTTTGATAGAGACTGGGTCTTGCTGTGTTGCCCAGGTTGCTTGTGAACTCCTGGGCTCAAGGAATCCTCTCATTTCAGCCTCTTCAAATGCTGGTATTACAAGCATGAACCACCATACGGGATGGAAGCTGATTTTTAAAATACTGAGATCATATAGATGACAGCACCTGAAAAATAGACAACACCAAGCTTTATGTTAAAAGGTGTGAGGGTATCAATATTGTTGTGGCTATTGGGGAGGAAAACATTAGTAAAACCTGTAAGTTAAAGCTCTTGCTTTAAACTTTGGCTTTAATTTAACAAATGTTCTATGGAGTGACAGTATGTATGTAACCATGCTATGCCCATTCACAGATGCAGTAGAGGGAAGAATTTCTCAAAGACAACTGTTCTAAGACTCAAATTAAACCGTCCTGGGTTTGAAAAGAGAAAGTCCAGGAATTACCAAATATTTTAGATATCAGATACAAGAGAATGCCAGGTATGCGATGATAATCAGCAATGGTTGTTCACACAACACATCAAATCAGTATTTGAATTAGCTTTTGAATTACAAGGACAAATGGATCAAGTCTAGACTCTTTAGTAGATAAATCTTATTAGGCTGAGATGTGTTTTCCCCTGTTTTTCCACAAGGAGATTACAAATTGGCAAACCTCAGCTGCTCTCATTTTATGCTCTCACCAAGCCAAAAGCTGAAGTTCATCAATCATTGTGTCTAATTGTTCACTGGCTATATACCATTTTGTAGTTTCAGCTATCTTTCCAACTTCCTACATCATCACCTTCATTTGATCTTGTTTTTTTTCCACTATCACTTCTTTATTGACCATATAAAGAATATAAGTAAGTTCTTATTTTGTTAGTGTTCATTTCAGTCTAATTTCATCAAAAGATCACAATCTTTTAATTTCATTTTAATTTCAAAGATTAAATGAAACCTACATAGAAATGTGTGTAAGATTTGCATTTGCATTATTTTGGCATCAATTTGCTATCCTCCCTCATGCACATAGAGATCATTTCCATGTACGTGATTTCAAACATCCAAGTGCAGTATTAAAAGCAGTTGTAAATTATGGTTCTCATTTTCATGATACAATTACAATATAAATTTCCTCTTGCTGCTGTAACCAATTACCATAAACTTCATATCTTACAATAAAGTGACCGTTAATCCCACAGTTCTCTAGTTCAGAAGCCTTAAATTAAACTCACATGGCTAACATCAAGTTTTGGGCAGGGCTGCAGTCTTTCTGAGGGCTACTTGGCAGAATCTATTACTTGATATTTTTCAGCATCCAGAGGCCACCTTTATTCCTTGGAACATGACCTCATTCTTAGATCCTATTTTTCTTTTTCTTTTTTTTTTTTTTGAGATGGAGTCTCCTTCTGTCACCCAGGCTGGAGTGCAGTGGCACGATCTCAGCTCACTGCAACCTCTGCCTCCTGGGTTCAAGTGATTATTCTGCCTCAGCTTCCTGAGTAGCTTGGACTACAGACACTTGCCACCACACCCAGTTAATTTTTTGTATTTTTAGTAGGGATGGGGTTTCACCATGTTAGCCAGGATGGTCTCGATCTCCTGACGTCGTGATAAACCCACCCTAGCCTCCCAAAGTGATGGGATTAGGCGTGAGCTACCGCACTGGGTCCTCATTCTTGTATCTAAAAAGTCAGTAATGTTGAGTAATTTCTCATGCCACCACCCCCAAGGTTGTCTTTCTTCTGCCTTCTTCTTTCACTTATAAGGAAGTTTGTGATTTCATTGATCCCACCCATTTAAGACAATCTCTCTATCATTTTTCTGCAACCTTAATTTCACTTGAAATCTAGTTTCACACTGCCGTGCAACTTAACATATTTGTATGTTAGACTCTGGGAATTAGGACATGAAAATTTGTGGGAGGCCATTCTTTGGCCTAGAGCAGACATAATATATTTACCTGCAGATTAAAGCGTTCTATATTTTTCTGTCTCTCTCTCTTAATTTTTTTAAAATAATATGAATTGCTGTAAAGAGAAAGAAAGAAAAGAAAAAAAGAAAGAAAAAGAAGGAAGGAACGAAGGAAGGAAGGAATAAAGAAAGAAGAAAAGAAAGAGGAAATGAGGGAAGGAAGTGAGGGAGGGAGGAAGGGAGAAAGGCAGGAAGGGAGAAAACGGAAAGCATGAACACAGTAAAGAAAGAAGGAAAGAAAGAAAGAAAGAAAGAAAGAAGAAAGAAAAAGTAAGAAAGAAAGAAAGAGAAAGAAAGAGAGAAAGAAAGAATGAAAGAAAGGAGGAAGGGAGGAAGGAAAGGAGGCAGAGAGAATGCTAAAAGGGAGGAAGGCAAAGAAACAAAGAAAATAAAAGAGGCGAAGGAAGGAAGGAAAAAGAGGAAAAGAAGGGAGGGAGGAAGGAACAAATGGAGGGCGGGAGGAAGGAAGAAAAAAGGAAAGAAAGCAAGAACGTGAGAAAGAAAGAAAGAACATGAGAAAAGAAGGAAGAAAACGGAGGGAGAAAGGAAGGGAGGGATTAGAGAAGGAAGAATAAGAGGAAAGAAACAAAGAAGGAATGAAGGAGAAGAAAGAAAAGAAAGAAAGGAAAAGAAAAAAGAAAAGGAAGAGGAAAAGTAGAAAGGAAGGAAGAAGGCAAGGGAAGGGAAGAGAAGAGAAAGGAAGATGGAAAGAAGTATGGAAGAACGCAAATGTTATAAATTCTGGGTTTGTTAGAGAATATGCCATACTGTTTTTTTTTCACTTGTAAAGAAGAGTATCTGTCATTGAAGATTGGATGTCTTGTTGGTGATATTGTTGTTCTTAACTTCCACATGATTACTGAGTTTGTGCCTAGTCTTCCATTACTAAGACAAAAGTGTTGAACTCTGCAAATATAACTTTGATTTTTCTAGTTCACCTTTGATTTCTTTCCTGTTATACCTCATGTATTTGGAGATTCTATTGTTAGCTGCATACCCTAATTAGTAGGATGTTTACATCTTCTTGAGAATTGATGATTCTATTATCTGTTATCTCTCATCTCTGATACTATTTCTTGTTCTGAACTCTGTTGTGGCTAATATCAATGTAGTCCTTCCACAGCCTTATTTTAATGTTTCCATGATATGGCTTTCTCCATATCTTGATGATAACCTCTTTATATCTCTATATATTTGGAGCAAGATATAAAATTTAGACTTGACTTTTTAAAGATTTTTCAAGATGTAATTCTTATTTATTTTTTTCTATTTGACATTCTCTGAGTTTCCTATATTTGAAGTTTGATTTTCTGTCACTTCTTTTAGAATATTTTTGGCAGTTATTTTGAAAAATATTTCTTTTCTCCATTATTTTTCCCTCTCTTCTTTTTGGAATTTCATTCATAACTAGAGTAGGTAATTTGTTCTCAGTCTTCTGCAGGTACTTTTTCTCAGTGTCTCAGGAATGTAGCCTTCTCACACTTCTGTTCTTTTCCTGGCTGTGTTGGTGACCTCAGTGATATTCCTCCTTCACCTTCAAGAGCAGTTTTGTTTTGTTTTTCTTGTTTTCATACTCCCAGCATCAGGAGTATTCTAAGTGTGGCAGTTTTTGTTGCCTTCCCCTACATATGAAGTGGAATATCTTGCTCTATTTGGACTCTTATAACAAAATAACATAAACTGAGTGACTAAAAAGCAACAGATATTTTTTTTCACACTTCTTGTGGCTGTAAGATCTCAGGTCAAGATGCTCACAAATTCAGTGTTGATGAGAGCCCATTTCATGGTTCATAGATAGTGCCTTCTTTCTATGTCCTCACACAGTAGAAGGCACAAAAGAACTCCATTGAGCTTCTTTTATAAAGACACTAATCCCATTCATATGGGCTCGACCCCCAAGACCTGGTCACCTCCGAAGTGTTCTGTTCTCCCTTATCTGTGTCATATACAGACTCTCTTGGATTCCTTACCAATTGCTTGAGAGATCGCAGTGGGCTAGTGGGGAAAAAGTTTTCAAGATGATGGATCTTTCCCAACTTCTGCAGCTGTCAGCGGTCTCCCAATCTCACCAGCCCCACTTTGTCTTTAGGAATTTATTGATTATTCCAGCTTTACTTGTCATAGTGGTGTCTATGTGCATCTGTCCTATGTAAGTGCGTCTGTCCTTTTTCTCCTTGCAGGTGCAAGTACTCAGGAGTACACTGTTGTTACTAATTACTCAGTATTGGTTGGTACATTGTCAAAGATCAAAGAACATTTTTAAAGTTAAAAAAAAGTCTTGGAGGTTGTGTAATGAAGGGTTAATTCTGCAGACATGGCTTTCCAAAACCTTGTGCATTCCAAACGTCTTCAGGACTGGCCCTTGACAAGCTCCTGGGAGATGATAACCTATGAGCCCTTGGTATATGTTGCCTGATGTGAGTCTTTGCATACATGTAAACGTAGGTCATATCAAATAGCAGATGCTAACAACTTGATTTCTTGTGAGCACCTGTTTCTGTATGCCTATGACTTTGTGTAATGCCATATTAATATGACCTCTCTTAAGGCATAGGGAGGTTGTGAACTGAGTAGCTATGTTCAGTCACAGGACGCTCGATGCATATGTGGTGGAATCCTAATAAAAACCCTGGACTCAAGACTGACTGAGCTTCTCTAGTTGGCAACAAGTTCACACATGTTGTCTCACACCATTGTAAAGAAAAGTAGTCAGTGTGAAATCCCCACTATGAAAGGACACCTGTAAGCTCACATCTGGTTTGTCCTGGACTCAACTTTATGTGCTTTTATGCTTCTGATTATTTTAATCTGGTTTCTTTCACTGTTAGAAACTATAACCACACAGAAAAATCAGCTTTCTTGGGTTATGTGAATCATTAAACCGAAGGGGGACTTGGGGACCCCCAATAAAATGTATATATATATTCTTAAAAAGAAAAAGAAAACTGGCTATAGCAGATATTGCTGATGACTTGTCTTCTATGTCCTGGACTCAATGTGTTCACCTGAAATTCACCTGTTTCCAGCTAACTGAGAGCTCCCCACATCATGCCTGTCTTTCTGATTTTTGGGCCTGCCTGTAAGCTTCTTGAGGCTAACCAGTGCTTCTCAACCACACATAGGAACAAAGAAGGAGTTAGGGGTGGAGAGTTAATGATTCTAAGGCAATCCTTAAGCAATAAGAGATGGGGATTCCAGCATCCCCATCTCTTTGTAAAGTTATTTTGACACAATCTCCATACCTCCATCATTACTGAGCACATAGCAGTAACTACTCATTCACACTGGATTCGTGTTCTGTTTCATTTTCTCCACTTCTGTGCTTTCTCACCCAATTTCTGATTAAAGTATCTGACCACAGATATTTGTTTCATAGTCTATTTTTGAGGGAATCCAGAGCCAAGACAATAACAATGGGAGCTTTGCAATGAGAGGGTGAGTATAATCATCAGAAGGTTACCTACCTCACTGGGAACATGAAGGCCTGCAGAGCTTGCTGTTTCAATGAGAGAAACATGTTGAATGTCAGTTGAATACCTGTATATATATGTGCAATAAGACGTGCCCTTTATTTACATCAGAGGTAAGTGCTCTTTACCTCTCTTTGTTGTTGTGTTTTTATCACTATTGCCTACACAAGCAGAATATCATACCCAGGATTTAAAGCCCTCTCTGCAGGATTTTCAAGCTCATGTTTTTATCATAAGTCACTCTGCTTCCATGTGTTTTCAATCTAATCCTCATTCCTCTGTTTTTACACCAGAGAATTCATCACTGACTTATTTTTGACTAACCTCC
This sequence comes from Homo sapiens, assembly GCF_000001405.40. Classification (NCBI taxonomy): domain Eukaryota; kingdom Metazoa; phylum Chordata; class Mammalia; order Primates; family Hominidae; genus Homo; species Homo sapiens. Next base: position 125,146,268 of record NC_000001.11, read on the forward strand.
TTATAGAGCTGTCAAGTACACGATTTCTGCTGTGACCTTACTCTTAGAGTTCAGTCATATAGCCTCTCACTAGATATCATTTCCTCTTATCTTTCCTAATAATGAATTGTCAGTTAAAACTCAACATTTTTAAGATTGAGCTTACCATCTGCACACACACACACACCATGATTGGTGTATTCTCATAGCCTTGAAACACTAATGTCACCTTGATATCTGCCTTTGCTCTCTCTGCTACCTCATTCCTCATCCTTAGATTATTCTAAAAGATTCAATTAGATCAAATTAGCTAATTATATTTTTAAGAACCTCTCTACCTTTCCCAACATTTTGTTTAACAAAATTTAAAAATTTCTGGCAGTAGACTGTTGAAACCCCCATGGATGACTATGGTTTTACTATTTTACCTTTCAGTTTTAATAGGTTTTATATTATGTATTTTGAAGTAATGCTATTGTGTGCATACATATTTCTTATTTACATGACTTCTTGGTGTATTTTCCCCTTTTTCGTTTTGAAATGTTATTCTTCATCCACAGTGATATTTCCTGTTCTGATGTCTACTTTGCTCATCACAGTTTTAGGGGGTTGTGGTTTGTTTGTTTTTCTATTGTTTGGTTCAAGTAAGTTTCTCATAAATCTCTTCGATACCATTAGATGATTCCATTTGATTCCATTTGAAGATTCCACTCGATTCCATTCGATGATGATTCCATTCGAGTCCATTCAATGATTCCATTCGAGTCCATTCGATGATTCCATTCGATTCCATTCGATGATTATTCCATTAGAGTCCATTCAATGATTCAATTCGATTCCATTTGATTCCATTCGATGATGATTCCATTCGAGTCCATTCGATGATTCCGTTTGAGTCCATTTGATGATTCCATCCGATTCCATTCAATGATGACACAATTCAAGTCCCTTCATTGATTCCATTCAATTCCATTATATGATGACTGCATTCGGTTCCATTCGATGATGATTCCAACGGATTCCATTCAATTTCTCCATTCGATTCCATTCCTTGCTGATTCCATTCAATTCCATTAGATGATATCTCCACTAGATTCCATTCGATGTTGATTTCATTAGAGTCTATTCGATGATGATCCAATTTGATTCTATTCAATGATGATTCTATTAGATTCCATTCAATAATTTCATTCAATTCCATTCGAAGATTCCATTCGCTTCCATTCGATGGTGATTCCATTCCTGTCTAGTCGATTATTCCATTCGATTCCATTCAGTGATGATTCCATTTGAGTCCATTCGATGATTCCATTCGATTCCATGTGATGATGATTCCATCGAGTCCATTCGATGATTCCATTTGATTCCATTAGATGATGACTGCATTCGGTTCCATTCGATGATGATTCTAACGGACTCCAGTCGAAGACTCCATTCGATTCCATTCATTGATGACTCTATTTGATTCCATTTGATGATGATTCCTTTCGATTCCATTCGATGATGATTCCATTCGATTCCATTCGATGATGATTCCATTCGATTCCATTCATGATGATTTCATTCGAGTCCATTCAATGATTCCATTTGAATACATTCAATGATGATTCCATTCAAGTCCATTCAATGATTGTATTCGAATCCATTTGATGATTGCTTTTGATTATATTCGACGATGATTCCACTCGAGTCTATTCGAGGATTCCATTCGATTCCATTCGATGATAATTCCATTCGAGTCCGTTTGATGATTCCATTTGATTCCATTCTCCGATGATCACATTCGAGTCCACTCGATGATTCCAATCAATTCCGTACAATGATGATTCCGTTCAATTCCATTCGATGATTCCATTCTATTCCATTCAATGATGATTCCATTCGGGTCCATTAGATGATTCCATTCGATTCCATTCGATGATTATTCCATTCGAGTCCATTCGATGATCCCATTTGATTCCATTTTATGATGATTCCATTTGGGTACAATAGATGATTCCATTCGATGATGTTTCTATTGCAGTCCATTAGATGATTCCATTCGATTCCATTTGATTATTATTCCATTCGAGTCAATTCAGTGATTCCATTTGATTCCATTTGATGATGATTCCATTCGGATCCATTCGATGATTCCATTCGATTCCATTCGATGATGATTTCATTCGAGTCCATTCGATGATTCCATTTGATTCCATTAGATGATGATTCCAATCAATTCTATTCGAATCCATTTGATGATTGCTTTTGATTATATTCGATGAATATTCCACTCGAGTCCATTCTATGATTCCATTTGATTTCATTCGAGGATGATTCCATTCGAGTCCATTTGATGATTCCATTTGATTCCATTCTCCGATGATTGCGTTCGAGTCCATTCTATGATTCCACTCGATTCCATACAATGATGAGTCCGTTCAATTCCATTCAATGATTCCATTCTATTCCATTCAATGATGATTCCATTCGAGTACATTAGACGATTCCATTCGATTCCATTCAATGATGATTCTCTTCTTCACCATTAGATAATTCCACATGATTACATTCGATGATGATTCTATTTGAGTCCATTCGATGATTCCATTCGATTCCATTCGATGATGACTCCATTTCATTCCATTCATTGGTGATTCCATTCAATTCCATTCATTGATTCCATTACTTTCCATTTGACAATGATTCCATTCAATTCCATTCGATGATTACACTTGATTCCACTTGACGATGACTCCACTTGATTCCATTCGATGATTCCATTTGATTCTATTCGATGATAATTCCATTCGATTCCATTAGATGAGGATTGCATTCAATTACATTCAAAGATTCCATTCGATTCCATTTGATGATTCCATTTGATTACATTCGAGGATTCCACTCTATTCCATTCGATGATCATTCCATTCGAGTCCATTCAATGATTCCATTCCAGTCCATTTGATGATTCCATTTGATTGCATTCGATGATGATTCCATTTCATTCCATTCAATGATTCCATTTGATTCCATTTGATGATTCCATATGAGTCCATTCGATTATTCCATTCGAGTCCATTCGATGATCCCATTCGATGATAATTCCATTGGAGTCCATTCGATGATGTTTCCATTCGATTCAATTGCATTATTCCATTCGATTTCATTCAATGATTCCCTTAGAATCCTTTCGATGATGATTCCATTCGATTCCATTCGATGATTATTCCTTTCGATTCCATTTAATGATGATTCCATTCGATTGCATTCGATGATTCCACTCGATTGCATTCGATGATTCCATTTGTGTGCATTCAATGACTCCATTCGATTTCATTCGATGATGATTCCATTCGAGTTCTTTGAATGATTCCATTCAAGTCCACTTGATGATTCCTTTCAATTCCATTTAATGATGATTCCATTTGACTCCATACGATGATGATTTCATGCGATTCTGTTCGATGATGACTCCTTTCGGTTCCATTCTATGATGATTCCATTCGGTTCAATTCGATGATGATTCCTTTGGATTCCATTCGATGATGATTCCATTCGACTCCATTTGATGTTGATACTTTTCGATTCCGTTTGATGATGTTTCCATTTGATTACATTCGATGATAATTCAATTCGATTCTATACGATGATGATTCCATTCGAGTCCATTTGATGATTCCATTCGAGTCCGTTCAATGAATCCATTCAATGATTCCATTCGATTCCTTTCAATTATTATTCCATTCGAGTCCATTAGGTGACTCTTTTCGTTCCCAATCGAAGATGATTCCATTCAATTACATTCGATGATACCATTCAATACCATTCATTGATGATTCCATTCGTGTGCATTTGATGATACCATTCAATTCCATTCTATGATGATTCCATTCGAGTCCATTTGATGATTCCATTGGACTCCATTTGATGATGATTCCATTCCAATATTCCATTCGATTCTATTCAATGATGATTCCATTCGATTTCATTCGATGCTGATTCCATTCAATTCCATTCGATGATTCCATTTGATTCCATTCGATGATTATTCTGATGAATTCCATTCAATGATTCCATTCGATTCCATTCGATGATTCCATTTGATTCCATTCGGTGATTCCATTTGTTTCAATTCGATAATTGTTCCATTCGAGTCATTTGATGATTCCATTTGATTCCATTCGTTGATGATTCTGATCATTTCTGTTCGATGATTCCATTCTATTCCATTTGATGATTCCTTTTGAATCCATTTGATAATGATTCCATTCGAAGTCCCTTCGATGTTTCCATTCGAGCTCACTTGATAATTCCATTTGAGTCCAATTGATGATTCCATTCGAGTCCATTCGATCATTCCATTAGAGTTCATTTGATTATGAATCCATTCGGGTCCATTGGGTGAATCCATTCGAGTCCATTCAATAATTCCATTTGAGTCCATTCGATGATTGCTTTTGATTTATTTTGATTATATTCAATTTTTGTCAATTTGTTGATGCCATTCGATTCTATTCTATGATGATTTCATTCTTGTCCATTCGGTGATTCCATTCGATTTCATTCGATGATGATTATTTTTGAGTCCATTAGATGATTCCATTCGACTCCATTTGATGATGATTCCATTCGGGTCCATTGAGTGATTCCATTCGATTCTATTTGATGATGATTCCATTCGATTCCATTGGATGATTATTCTATTCGTGCCCATTAGATAATTTCACACGATTCCATTCTATGATGATTCCATTTGATTCCATTCGATGATGACTCCATTCAATTCCATTCATTGGTGATTCCATTCAATTCCATTCATTGATTCCATTCCATTCCATTCGACAATGATTCCATTCGATTCCATTCGGTGATTCCACTCAATTCCACTTGAAGATGATTCCATTCGATTCCATTTGATGATTCCATTTGATTCCATTCAAAGATTATTGCCTTCGATTCCATTCGATGATTCCATTCGATTCCATTCAATGATGATTCCGTTCGATTCCATTTCATAATTCCATTTGATTCTATTCAAGGATTCCATTCGATTCCATTCAAAAATGATTCCATTCGAATCCATTTGATGTTTTCATTCGAGTCAATTCAATGATTCCATTCGAGTCCATTTGATGATTCCATTAGATTCCATTCGATGATGATTCCATTAGGGTCCATGTGATTATTCCTTTTGAGACCATTTGATAATTCCATTCAAGTCCATTTGATGATCCATTCGAGTCCATTTGATGATTCCATCCGATTCCATTTGATGATGATTCCATTCGAGTTCATTTGATCATTCCATTCGATTCAGTTTGATGATACCATTTGAGTCCATTCGATTATTCCATTCGAGTCCATTCAATGGTTCCATTCAATTCCATTCGCTGATAATTGCATACGAGTCCATTCGATGATGATTCCATTCGATTCCATTCGATGATTCCATTCGATTCCATTCTATGATTCTTTTCGATTCCTTTCGACGATGATTCCATTCAATTCCATTCGTTGATGACTGCAATCGTTTCCATTTGATGATGATTCCAGCCGATTCCATTTGATATCTCCATTCGATTCCATTCTATGATGATTCCATTCGATTCCATTACATGATGATTCCATTAGATTCAATTCGATGACGATTCCATTTCATTCCATTCAATGGTGATTCCATTCGTTTCCATTCTAGGATTCCATTCGTTTCCATTCGATGGTGATTCCATTCGTGTCCATTCGATGATTCCATTCGATTTCATTTGATGATGATTTCATTCGAGTCCATTCAATGATTCCATTCAAGTCCATTTGATGATTGCTTTCAATTCCATTTGATGATGATTCCATTCGAGTCCATTCAATGATTCCATTCAATTCCACTCGATGATGATTCCATTCGAGTCCATTCGATGATTCCATTTGATTTCATTGGATGATGATTCCATTTGATGATTCCATTCTATTCCATTCGATGATGATTCCATGCGAGTCCATTCGATGACTCCATTCGAGTCCATTCGATGATGATTGCATTCGATTTCATTCTATGATTCTATTCGATGATGATTCAATTCTATTACATTGGATGATTAAATTCGATTCCATTCGATGATGATTCCATTCGATTCCTTTAGATGATGATTCCATTTGATTCCATTCGATTATTATTCCATTCGATTTCATTCGATGATTCTATTCAATTCCATTTGATGATTCTATTCGATTCCATTCGATGATGATTCAATTATATTCCATTGGATGATTCCTTTTTATTCCATTCGATGATGATTGCATTCGATTCCAAACTATGATTATTCCATTCATTTACAATCAATTATGATTTCATTCGATTTCATTCGATTATTCTATTTGATTCCATTTAATGATGATACAATTCTATTGCATTGGATGATTCCATTCCATTCCATTCGATGATGGTTCCATTCGATTTAATTCGAGGATGATTCCACTCGATTGCATTCGATGAAGATTTCAATCGAGTCCATACATAGATTCCATTCGATACCATTCTATGATGATTCCATTCGAGTCCATTATATGATTCCATTCCATTCCATTCAATGATGATTCCATTCGATGCCATTTGATGATTCCCTTCGATCCCATTCGATGATGATTCCATTCAAGTCCGTTCGATGATTCCATTAGATTCCAGTTGACAATGATTCCATTCGAGTCCATTTGATGATTCCATTCGATTCCATTTGATGAAGATTCCTTCGAGTCCTTTTGAAGATTCCATATAATGATGATTCCACTCGAGTCCATTTGATTATTCCATTTGAGTCCATTCGATTGTTCCCTTAGATTCCATTCATTGGTGATGCCTTTTGTTGCCATTCGATGATTCCATTTGACTCCATTCGATGATGTTTCCATTCAAGTCCATTCGATGTTTCCTCTTGAGTCCATTCAATGACACCATTCGATTCAACTCAATGATGATTCCATTATAGTCCATTCAATGATGATTCCATTCGAGTCCATTCAATGATTCCATTCGGTTCCATTTGATGATGATTCCATGGGATTCCATTCGATGAATCCATTTGATTCCACTTGTTGATGATTCCATTTGATACTATTCGATGATGATTCCATTCAATTCTCTTAATTGATGATTCCAATAGATTCCATTCGATAATGATTCCATTCGACTCCATACAGTGGTGATTTCATTCAACTTCTTTCGATGGTTCCATTCGATTCCTTTTGATGATGATTCCATTCGATTCCATTCGATGATTCTATTTGATGCCATTCAATGATGATTCCATTTGATTCTATTCGATGATTCCATTCAATTCCATTCGATGATGAGCCATTCAGTTCAATTGCATCATGATTCCATTTGATTCAATTCGATGATATTTCCATTTGATTCCATTCGATGATGATTCCATTAGATTGCATTCGATGATGATTCCTTTCGAGTCCATTTGTTGATGATTCCATTTGAGTCCGTTCATTGATGATTACTTTGGATATCATATGATGCTTCTATTTGATTCCATTCGAAGATGATTCCATATCATTCCATTCGATGATTCCATTTGATTCCACTCAGTGATGATTCCATCGGATGATGATTTCATTTGATTCCATTCGATGATGACTCCATTAGAGTCCATTCGATCATTCCATTCGTGTTCAATTGATGATTCCATTTGATTCCATTCGATGATGATTCCATTAGAGTCCGTTCAATGAATCCATTCGATTCCATTTGATGATGACTCCATTCGAGTCAGTTCAATGATTCCATATGATTCCATTCGGTGATCATTCCATTTGAGTACATTCAATGATTCCATTTGATTCCATTCGATGATGATTCCATTCGATTCCATTCAATGATGATTGCATTTGAGTTCATTCAATGATTCCCTTTGATTCCATTTGATGATGATTCCATTCGAGTCCATTCAGTGATTCCATTTGATTCCAATCGATGATGATTCCATTCGAGTCCATTCGATGATTACATTCGATTCCACTCGATGACGATTCCATTCTAGTCCATTCGGTGATTCCATGTGATTCCATTTGATGCTGATTCCATTCGAGCCATTTGATGATTCTATTTGAATCCATTTGATGATTGCTTTTGATTATAACAATGATGATTTCACTCGAGTCCATTCAATAATTCCATTCGATTCCATTCGATGATGATTCCCTTTGGGTCCATTAGAAGATTCCATTCCTTTACACTTGATGATGAGTCCATTCGAGTTCATTCGATGATTACACCCGATTCCATTCCCTGATGATTACTTTCGAGTCCATTTGATGATTCCACTCGATTCCATATGATGATGACTCCATTCGATTCCATTCGATTATTCAATTCTATTCCATGAGATGATGATTCTATTCGAAAACATTAGTTGATTCCATTCAATTCCATTCAATTATGATGCTATTCATGTTCTTTAGATGATTCCATTCGATTACATTCGATGATGATTTCATTCTTTTCAGTCCAATGATGATTCCATTCCTGTCAATTAGATGATTCCATTAGATTCCATTCAATTTTGATTACTTTTTTTTCCATTCAGTGATGATTCCATTCAGGTCCGTTAGATGATTCCATTTGATTCCACTCGATGATGACTCCATTATATTCCATTCAATGTTGATTGCATTCAAGTCCATTAGATGATTCCATTCGATTCCATTCTCTAATGATTACTTTTGTGTCCATTCGATAATTCCACTCGATTCCATACGATGATGACTCCATTAGATTCAATTCGATGATTCCATTCTACTACATTAGATGATGATTCCATTCGAGTACATTAGATGATTCCATTCAATTCCATTCAATGTTGATGCTATTCGTGTCCATTAGATGATTCCATTTGATTCCATTCGATGATGATTCCATTCGAATCCATTCGATGATTCCATTCGATTCCATTCTCTGATTATTACATTCAAGTCCATTCGATGATTGCACTCGATTCCAAACGATGGAGATTCCATTCGTTTCCATTTGATGATTCCATTCTATTCCATTAGATGATGATTCCATTCGAGTACATGAGATGATTCCATTAGATTCCATTCAATGTTGATGCTATTCATGTCCATTAGATGATTCCATTCTATTCCATTCAATGACGATTCCATTCTATTCAATCCAATGGTGATTCCATTTGGGTCCATTAGATGATTCCATTCGATTCCATTTGATTATGATTCCATTTTATTCCATTCAGTGATGATTACATTCGGGTCCGTTAGACAATTCCATTTGATTCCATTCGATGATGGTTCCATTATTTTCCATTCAATGATGATTCCATTCGAGTCCATTCGATGATTCCATTCTACTCCATTCAATGATGAATCCATTCAGTCCATTCAATGATTCTATTTGAGTCAATTCAATAATTGCTTTCAATTCCATTCGATGATGATTCCATTCGATACCATTCTATGATTCCATTCGATTCCATTTGATGTTGATTCCATTCGATTCCATTCGATGGTTCTATTCGACTCCATTCAATGATGATTCCATTTGATTCCATTTGATGATTCCATTTGATTATATTTTATGATGATTACATTTTATGATGATTACATTCTATCCCATTCGATGATTCCATTCGATTCCACTTGATGATGATTCCATTGGAGTCCATTTGGTGACTCCTTTCGATTTTATTTGATGATGATTCCATTCGAGTCCATTCAATGGTGATTCCAGTCGATTCCATTCAATGAGTCTATACGATTCCATTCGATGACGATTACATTCAATTCCTTTGGATGATTCCATTTGAATCCATTCAAACATGATACCATTCAATTCCATCCGATAATACCATTCCTTTCCCTTCGATGGTTCCAAAGGATTCCATTTGATGATGCTTCCATTCGAGTCCATTCGATGATCCCATTCAATTCCATTAGATGATAATTCCATTCGAGTGCATTCGATGATTCCTATCAATTCCACTCCATAATGATTCCTTTCAAGTCCATCCAATTACTCTATTCGATTCCATTCTATAATGATTCCGTTCGAGTCCATTTTATGATGCAATTCAAGTCCTTTCGATGATTCCATTCCATTCCATTCGATAATGGTTCCTTTCGAGTGCACTCGATGCTTCAATTCAATTCCTTTTGATGATTCCATTCGAGTCCAATTGATGATTCCATTCAATTCAATTTCATGATGATTCTGTACCATTCCATTCCATGATGATTCCATGTGATTCCATTCGATGATGATTCATTTCCATTCCATTCCATTATGATTCATTACGAGTTCATTCGATGATTCCACAAGTTTCTATTCGATGATGATTCCATTCGAGTCCATTTGCTGATTCCATTTGAAACCATTTGATGGGGATTCCATTCGATTCCATTCATTGGTGATTCCATTCAATTCCATTCAATGATTCCATTCCATTCCATTCGACAATGATTCCGTTAGATTCCATTCAATGATTCCACTTGATTCCATTTGACAATGATTCCATTCGATTCCCTTCATTGGTGATTCCATTCAATTCCATTCAATGATTCCATTCCATTCCATTCGACAATGATTCCATTAGATTCCATTCGATGATTCCACTTGATTCCGTTTATGATGATTCCATTCGATTACATTTGATGATTCCATTCAATTCTATTCGATGATATCTCCATTTGATTCCATTCGAAAATGATTGCCTTTGATTCCATTCAATGATTCCATTCGTTTCCGTTCAAAGATGATTCCGTTCGATTCCATTTGATGATTCCATTTAATTCCAGTGGATGATTCCATTCGATTACGTTCAAAGATTATTCCATTTGAGTGCATTCGATGATTCCATTTGAATCCATTCAATGATTCCATTCGTGTACAGTTGATAATTCCATTCGATTCCATTCGATCATGATTCCATTAGGGTCCATTCGATCATTCCATTCGAGTGCATTTGATAATTGCATTCGAGTCCATTCAATGATTTCATTTGATTCCTTTTGATGATTCCATTCGAGTCCGTTTGATCATTCCATTCGAGTCCATTCGATGATTCCATTTGAAGATGATCACATTCGATTCCATACGACGATGATTCCATTTGAGTCCATTCGATGATTTCATTTAATTCAATTTGATGATGACTTCATTCGAGTCCATTCAATGATTCCATTAGATTCCATTTGATGATGATTCTATTCAATGCCATTCAACGATTCCATTTGATTCCTTTCAACAATGATTCCATTCGGGTCCATTTGATGATTCCATTCAATTCCACTTGATGATGATTCCATTCAATTCCATTCTATGATGATTCCCTTCTAATCCATTTGATTATTCCATTCGATTCCATTCGATGATGACTGCATTTGGTTCCATCCGATGATGATTCTAACGGATTTCATTCGATTTCTCGTTTTGATTCCATTCGTTGATGATTCCATTCTTTTACATTTGATGATGATTCCATTATATTCCATTCGATGGTGATTCCATTTGATTCCATTCAGTGACGATTCCATTAGATTCCATTCAATGATGATTCCATTGGATTCCATTCGATGATTCCATTCAATTCCATGCAATGGTGATTCCATTCGGGTCCATTTGATGATTCCATTTGATTCCATTCGATGATGATTCCATTCGAGTACATTCAATGATTCCATTCAAGTGGATTCGAAGATTACTTTCAATTCCATTTAATGATTCCATTCGAGTCCATTCGATGATTCCATTGAAGTCCACTTGACATTTACTTTTGATTCCACTCGATATTGATTCCATTTGAGTCCATTCGATTATTCCATTCGAGTGAATTCCATGATTTCTTTTGACTCCATTCGATGATATTTCCATTCGAGTCCATTCGGTGATTGCATTTGATATCATTCGGTGATGATTCTATTCGATTCCATTCGATGATTCCATTCAAGTGCATTCAATGATTACATTCGAGTCCATTAAATGATTCCATTCGTTTCCATTCGATGATGACTCCATTCGAGTCCATTCAATGATGATTCAGTTCGATTCCATTCAATGATACCATTGGATTCCATACTTTGTTTAATTTTGATTCGTTTTGGTGATGATTCCATTCGATTTCATTTGATGATCCCATTCGATTCAATTTCATGATGATTCCATCCAATTCCATTTGATGAAAATATAATTCTATTTGATGAAAATTGATGAAAATTCCATCCAATTCCATTCGTTGATGATTCCATTCAATTCTATTCGATGAGGATTCTATTCAATTCCATTCAATGATGATTCCATTGGATTCCATTCGATGATGATTCCCTTCTTGGCCATTTGATGATTCTATTCACTTCATTTGATGATGATTTCATTCAATTCCATTACATGATTCCATTAGAATCCATTTGATGATGATTCCATTCGATTCCATTCGATGATGATTCCATGCGATTCTATTGGATGATGACTCCTTTCGTTTCCATTTGATGACTATTCCTTTCGACTCCATTTGTTGTTGATTCTTTCGATTCCGTTCGATGATATTTCCATTTGATTCCATTCAAAGATGATTACATTCGATTTCATTAGATAATTCCATTTGATTCCATACGATGATGATTCCATTCGTGTTGCATTCGATGATTCCATTCGATTACATTGACGATGATCACATTCGATTCGATTAGATGATTCCATTGGATGCCTTTTGATGATTATTCCATTTAAATCAATTCAGTGATTCCTTTCCATTCCAATTGAAGATGATTCCATTCCATTCAATGAAAACATTCTATACCATTCGTTGATGATTCCATTTGAATGCATTTGATTATACCATTTGATTCCATTTGATGATGATTCCTTTCGATTCCATTTGATGATTCCATTCAATTCCATTCTATGATGATTCCATTCACGTCCATTTGATAATTCCATTGGAATCCATTTGATGATGATTCCATTCAATGTTTCTATTCGATTCTATTCAATGGTGATTCCATTCGATTTCATTCGATGCTGATTCCATTCAATTCCATTCGATGATTCCATTTGATTCCATTCGATGATTCCTTTCAATTACATTCGACGATGATTCCATTCGATTACATTCGATGATTCCATTCGATTCTATTCAATGATGATTCCATTCGGTTCCATTCGATGACGACAGCAATCGATTCCATTCGATTATTCCATTTGATTCCATTCGATGATGATTCTGATCGATTCCATTCGATGATTCCATTCAATTCCATTTGATGATTCCATTTGATTCCATTCGATAATGATTCCATTCTCGTCCATTCCATGATTCCATTCGAACCCATTCGATAATTCCATTTAAGCCCATTCGATGATTCTATGCGGGTCCATTCGATCATTCCATTTGAGTCTATTTGATGATGATTCCGTTCGAGTACATTCAATGATTCCATTCAGATCAATTCGATGATGATTCCATTTGAGTCCATACAATGATTCTATTCAAGTCCATTTGATGATTCCTTTCAATTCCATAGAATGATGATTCCATCTGAATCCATTCGATCATTCCACTCTATTCCTTTCCATGATGATTCCATTCATGTCCATTCGATGATTCCATTTGTCTTAGTTCAATGATGATTCCATTCGATTTTATTCGATGATTCCACTCTATTACATTTGATGATGATTCTATTCGACTCCATTCAATGATTCCATTTGATTCAATTTAATGATTCCATTGGGTTCAATTCGATGATGATTACATTGGATTCAATTCTATGATTCCATTCGATTCCATTCGTTCACGATTCCATTCGATTAAATTTGATGATGATTCCACTCGATTTCATTCTATGATTCTAATCGATTCCATTCGATGATGATTCAATTCTATTCCATTCAATGATTCCACTCGATTTCATTCTATGATTCTAATCAATTCCATTCGATGATGATTCAATTCTATTCCATTCGATGATTCCATTTGATGATGATTCCATTTGATGATGATTACATTCAATTCGATTCGATGATGATTACATTCTATTACATTCGATGATGATTCCATTCTATTCCATTCGATGATGATTCCATTCTATTCCATTCGATGATGATTCCATTCTATTCCATTCGATGATGATTCCATTCGAGTCCATTCGAGGATTCCATTCGATTACATTCCATGACGATTCAATTCGATTCCATTGTATGATTCCCTTCGACTCCATTTGACGATGATTCCATTCGATTCTATTCAATGATTCCATTCAATTTCATTCGATGATGATTGCATTTGAATCCATTCGATGATTCCATTCAATTCCAGTTGATGATGATTCCATTAGATTCCATTCCATGTTTCCATTGGATTCCATTTGATGATGATTCCATTCCATTCCATTCAATCATTCCATTCGATTCCATTAGATGATGATTCCATTCGAGTCCATACAATGATTCCATTCGATTCCATTCGATGATAATTCCATTCGAGTCCATTTGATGATTCTATTCAATACTATTCGATAATGATTCCACTCGAGTCCATTCGATGATTGCTTTTGAGTCTATTTGAAGATTTCATTGGATACCAGTCGATGATGTTACCATTAGAGTCCATTCAATAATTCCGTCCGATTCCATTTGATGATGTCTGTGTTCGGTTCCATTTGATGATGATTCCAAAGCCTTCCATTGCATGACTCCATTCAACTTAATTCATTGATGATTCCATTCGATTACATTCGATTATGATTCCATTCAATTCAATTCGATGATGATTTCATTCAATTCCATTCCATGATGATTCCATTCGAATCCATTCAATGATGAATCCATTCAATTCCATTTTATGAATCCACTCAATTCCATTCAATGATGATTCCATTCGATTCCATTTGATGATTCCATTTGATTCCATTCGATGATGATTCCATTCGATTCCACTCTATCATTCCATTCGATTCCATTCAATGATGATTCCATTCGATTCCATTTGATGGTTCTATTTGATTCCATTCGATGATGATTCCATTCGAATACATTCGATGATTCCATTCGATTCAATTTGATGAAGATTCCATTAGAGTCCATTTGATGATGCCATTCAAGTTCATTCGATGATTCCTTTCGATTCCACTCGGTGTTGATTTCATTCGAGTCCATTCGATGATTCCATTCGAGTGCATTCCATTATTCCATTCAATTCCAATTGATGATGATTCCATTCGAGTCCATTCGTTGATTCCACTTGATTTTATTCGATGATGATTCCATTTGATTCAGTTCGATGATTCCATTCGAGTCCTTTCAATGATGATTCCATTCAATTGCTTTCGATGATGATTCCATTCCATTTCATTCAATGATCCTATTTGATTCCATTCAATGAAGATTCAATTCTATTCCATTCGATGTTTCCATTCGATTCCATTCGATGATGATTCGATTCAATTCCACTCGATGATGATTCCATTCGATTGCATTCGACGATGATTATATTCGATTCCATTCGATGATGATTCCATTCGATAGCATTCAATGATGATTTGATTCGAGTCCATTCGAAGATTCCATTCGATTACATTCCATAACGATACCATTTGTGTCCATTCGATGATTCCATTCGACTCCATTCGAGGATGATTCCATTCAATGCTATTCAATGTTTCCTATCTATTCCATTCGATGATGATTCCATTCATTTCCATTTGATGATTCCATTTGAGTCCATTCGATTATTCCATTAGATTCCTTTCGATGATGATTCCATTCGATGCCATTTGTTGATTCCATTAGATTCCATTCAATGATGATTGCATTCGTGTCATTCGATTATTCCGTTCGATTCCATTCGATGATGATTCCATTCTAGTCCATTCAATGATTCCTTTCGATTCCATTCGATCTTGATTCCATTTGAGTCCTTTCGATGTTTCCATTCGATTCCATTCCCCAATGATTTCTTTGGAGCCCATTCAATGCTTTCACTGGATTCCATATGATGATGACTCCATTCGATTAAATTTGATGATGATTCCATTTGATTGCATTCGATGATGATTCCACTGGGGTCCTTTTGAAGATTCCATTCGATTACATTCCATTATGATTCCATTCGAGTCCATTTGATGATTCCATTTGACTCCATTCGACGATGACTCCATTCGATGCTATTCGATGATTCCATTCGATTTCATTTGATGATGATTCCATTCAACTCCATTCGATGATTCCACTCGATTCCATTCTACAGTGATTTCTTTCGAGTCCATTCAATGCTTCCACTCGATTCCATATGATGATGAATCCATTCGATTACATTTGATGATGATTCCATTTGATTGCATTCGATGATGATTCCATTCGATTTCACTTGATGATTCCTTCAATTCCCTTCGATGATGATTCCATTCGAGACCATTCGATGATTCCTTTTCATTCCATCTGATGATCATTCCATTTGGCACCATTCGATGATTCCTTTCGATTCCATTCAATTATGATTCCATTCGATGATTCCATTCAATTCCATTCAAAGTTTCCTTTCAATTCCACTCGATGTTGATTTCATTGTAGTCCATTCGATGATTCCATTCAAGTGCATTCCATGATTTTATTTGATTCCACTCGATGATGATTCCTTTCGAGTCCATTCAATGATTCCATTTTATTTCATTCCATGATAATTCCCTTCAATTACATTCGATGATTCCATTCGATTCCTTTCAACAATGATTCCGTTCTTGTCCATTTGATGATTCCATTCAATTCCATTTGATGATGATTCCATTCGAGCCCATTCGGTGATTCCATTTGATTTTATTCAATGATGATTCCATTCGAGTCCATTTGATGATTCCATTGGACTCCATTTGATGATGATTCCATTCAATGATTCCATTCGATTCTATTCGATGATGATTCCATTCAATTTCGTTTGATGCTGATTCTATTTAATTCCATTCGATCATTCAATTTGACTCCATTCAATGATTCCATTTGATTCCATTTGATGATGTCGTTTGATTCTATTCAATGATGATTCCATTCGATTCCATTCAATCATGACGGCATTCTATTCCACTTGATGATTCCTTTCGATTCTATTCGATGATGATTCCATTCGTGTCCATTCGTTGATTCCATTCGATTTCATTCGATGATGATTCCTTTTGAGTGCATTAGATTATTCCATTCTATTCTATTTGATGATGATTCCATTCGAGTCCATTCAGTGATTCCATTTGATTCCATTCGATGATGATTCCATTCGATTCCATTCGATGATTCCATTCGATTCCATTCGATGATGATTCCATTCAATTCCATTCGATGATGAGTCTATACATTTCAATTCCGTGATGATTCCATTCGATTCATTTCGATGGTGTTTCCATTCGATTCCATTCAATGTTGATTCCACTTGATTCCACTGGATGATGATTTCATTCAAGTCCATTCGATGGTGATTCCACTTGAGTCCATTTGATGATGATTCCGTTCGATTTCATTCGACGATTCTAATCAATTCCAATCAATGATGATTCCATCTGATTCCATTCGATGAATCATTCGATTCCATTCGATGATGATTCCATTCATTTAAATCCGATGATGATTCCATTCAATTACATTTGATGATTTTTCCATTTGAGTAAATTCTATGATTCCATTCAATATCATTCGATGATGATTCCATTTGAGTCCATTCGATGATTCCATTCAAGTCCATTCAATGATTCCATTCGAGTCCATTCAATGATTCCATTCGATTCCATTCGATGAAGATTCAATACGAGTCCATTCGATGATTACATTTGATACCATTCGATGAAGATTCCATACGAGTCCATTCGATGTTTCCATTTGATTCCATTTGTTGATGATTCCATTCGAGTCCATTAAATGATCCAATTCGATTCCATTCGATGTTTATTCCATTCGAGTATATTGATTATTCCATTCCATTCCATTCGATGATTCCATTCGAGTACATTGATTATTCCATTCCATTCCATTCAATGATTCCATTCGAGTCCATTCGATTATTCTATTCCATTCCTTTCGATGATGATTCCATTCGTGTCCATTCGATGATTCTGTTTGATAAAATTGGATGATGATTCCATTTGATTGCATTCGATAATTCCATTCTATTCCATTCAATGATGATTGCATTCGAGTCCATTCGATTATTCCATTTGAGTCCACTTGATTATTCCATTGAGTTTAATTTGATGATGATTACATTGGATTCCATTCTATGATTCCATTCAATTCCATTCGTTCATGATTCCATTTGATTCCACTCGACGATGATTCCATTCGATTTCATTCAATGATTCCATTTAATTCCTTTCGATGAAGAATCAATTCTATTCCATTGGATGACTCTATTCGATTCCATTCGATTCCATTGGTTGATGATTCCATTCGAATGCATTTGATGATGATTCCATTCTTGTCCATTCGAAGTTTCCAATCGATTTCATTGCATGATGATTCCGTTCCAGTCCATTCGATGATTCCATTTGACTGCATTCGACGATGATTCCATTCGATGCTATTCGATTATTCCATTCGATTCTGTTCTGTGATGATTACATTCGACTCCATTTGAGGATTCCATTCGAGTCCATTCAATGAATATTGCATTCGTGTCTATTCGATGATTCCATTTGATTCCATTCAATGATGATTCCATTTGAATCCATTCGATGATTTCACTCGATTCCATTTGATGACTCTGTTCAATCCCATTGGATGATTCCCTTCGAATCCATTTCGTGATCCTTCCATTTGATTCAATTTAGTGATTCCATTCGATTCTATTCAATGATTGTTCCAATCGAATCCTATAGATGATGATTCCATACGATTCATTTGATTATGATTATATTTGATTCCATTTGAAGATGATTCCATTCGAGTCCATTCGATGATTCCATTCTATTCCATTTGATGATGATTCCACTCAATCCATTCGATGATTCCATTTGAGTACTTTCGATGATTTCATTAGATTCCATTCGAAGATGATTCCATTCGATGTCATTCGATGATTTCATTTGAATCCATTCAACGATGATGCCATTCGTGTACATTCGATGATTCCATTCAATTCCATTAGATTGTCATTCCATTAGAGTCCATTCGATGTTTCCATTCAATTCCATTCAATGATGATTCCATTCTAACCCATTTGATGATTCCATTCTAACCCATTTGATGATTCCATTCGATTCCATTCAATGATGACAGCATTTGGTTCCATTTGATGATGATTCCAACGGATTCCATTCTATTTCTGCCTTTGATTCCATTCGTTGATGATTCCATTCGTTTCCATTAGATGATGATTCCATTAGATTCCATTCGATGATGATTCCATTTGATTCCATTCAATGACGATTCCATTTAATTCCATTCAATTGTCATTCCACTCGATTCCATTGGTAGATTCCATTTGATTCCATTCGTTGATGATTCCATTCAAGTGCATTCAATGATTCCATTTGATTCCACTCGATGATACTTCAATTCAAGTCCATTCGATGATTCCTTTGGATTCCATTTGATGATGATTCCATTCAAGTCCATTGGATGATTGTATTCGAGTCCATTCGATGATTCCATTCCATTCGATTCGATGATGATTCCATCGAGTCCATTCGATGATTCCACTTGATTTCATTTGATGATGACTGCATTCGGTTCCATTCGATGATTCACCCAATGGACTCCATTCGATGACCTCATTAGATTCCATTCATTGATGATTCCATTCGCTTCCATTCATTGATGATTCCATTCGATCCCATTCGATGATGTTTCCATTTGATTCCATTCGATGATGATCGCATTCGACTCCATTCCAGTATTACTCCATTCGATTCCATTCAATGATGATTCCGTTCAATTCCATTCAATGATTCCTTTTGATTCCATTCGATGATGATTCCATTTGTGTCCATTCGATGATTCCTTTTGACTCCATTCAATGATAATTCCATTCAATTCTATGCGATGATTCCATTCCTTTCCATTTGAAGATGATTCCATTCGAGACCATTCGATGATTGCATTCAATTCATTCGATGACGATTCCATTCAATTCCGTTCAATGATTCCGTGAGATTCCATTTGATGATGATTCCATTCGATTCCATTTGATGATGATTCCAAGCGATTCCATTAGATGATGACTCCTTTCAAATCCATTCGATGATGATTCCATTCGTTTCCGTTCAATGATTATTCCATTCGAGTCCACTCAATGATTCCATTCGATTCTATTTGATGATGATTACATTCGAGTACATGGATTATTCCATTCCATTGCATTAGATGATACTATTCGAGTCCATTCGATGATTCTCTTCGATTACATTCGATAATTCCGTTTGATTCCGTTTGATGTTGATTCCATTCGTGTCCATTCGATGATAATTCCACTCGATTTTATGCGATGATTCCATTCCTTTCCATTTGAAGATGATACCATTCGAGACCATTCGATGATTGCATTCAATTCATTCGATGACGATTCCATTCAATTCCGTTCACTGATTACATTAGATACCATTTGATGATGATTCTTTCGATTCCATTTGATGATGATTCAATGCGATTCCATTAGATGATGACTCCTTTCATATCCATTCAATCAGGATTCCATTCGGTTCCATTTGATGATGATTCCTTTGAATTCCATTTGATGACAATTCCATTCAATACCAATTGATGATGGTTATTTTTGATTCCATTTGATGATGATTACATTCGATTCCATTTGATCATGATTCCATTCGTTTCCACTCAATGATTCCATTCGATTCCATTCAATGATGATTCCATTCGAGTTCATTGACTATTCCTTTCCATTCCATTCGAAGATTCCATTCGAGTCCATTCGATGATTCTATTCGATTGCATTCGATAATTCCATTCGATTGCATTCGATAATTCCATTCGATTCCATTTGAGGATAATTCCATTTGAGTCCATTCGATGATTGTTCCATTCGATTCTATTCAATGATTCTATTCGATTCCATTTGATAATGATTCCATTCGAGACCATTCGATGATTCCATTCAATTCCGTTCAATAATGATTCCATTCGAGTCCATTCAATGATTCCATTCAAGTCCATTCGATGATTCCATCTGATTCCATTCAATGAATCCATTCGATTCCATTCTATGATGATTTCATTCATTTCCATCTGATGATGATTCCATTCGATTCCATTCAATGATTCCATTCGATTCCATTTGATGATGATTTCAATCAATTTCATTCAATGATTACATTCGAATCCATTCGATGATGAGTCCATCCATTTCAATTTCATGATAATTCCATTCGTTTCAATTCGATGGTGTTTCCATTCGATTCCATTCGATGTTGATTCCATTAGTTCCCATTGGATGATGATTCCATTCGAGTCCATTCGATGATGATCACATTGGATTTCATTCCATAATTCTATTCGATTCCATTTGATGATGATTCCATCTGATTCCATTTGATGATTCCATTCGATTCCATTCGATGATTATTCCATTCGTTTCCATCCGATGATGATTCCATTCGATTCCGTTCAATGATTATTCCATTCGAGTCCATTCGATGATTCCATTCGATTCCATTCGATGATGATTGCATTCGAGTCCATGGATTATTCCATTCCATTCCATTAGATGATTCCATTCGAGTCCATTCGATGATTCTCTTCGATTCCATTCGATAATTCCGTTTGATTCCGTTTGATGTTGATTCCATTCGAGTCCATTCGATGATAATTCCATTCGATTGTATGCGATGATTCCTTTACTTTCCATTGGAAGATGATTCCATTCGAGACCATTCGATGATTGCATTCAGTTCATTCGATGAAGATTCCATTCAATTCCGTTCAATGATTCCATTCGATTCCATTTGGTGATGATTCCATGCGATTCCATTAGATGATGACCCCTTTCATTTCCATTCAATGAGGATTCCATTCGGTTCCATTTGATGATGATTGCTATGAATTCCACTTGATGACAATTCCATTCAATACCAATTGATGATGGTTATTTTTGATTCCATTTGATGATGATTACATTCGATTCTATTTGATCATAATTACATTCGATTCCACTCGATGATTCCATTCGATTCCATTAAATGATGATTCCATTCGATTTCATTGACTCTTCTATTCCATTCCATTCGATGATTCCATTCGAGTCCATTCGATGATTCTATTCAATTGCATTCGATTATTCCATTCGATTGCATTCGATAATACCATTCGATTCCATTTGAGGATAATTCCATTTGAGACCATTTGATGATAATTCCATTCGATTCTATGTGATGATTCGATTCCTTTCCATGTGAAGATGATTCCATTCCAGACCATTCGATGATTGCATTCAATTCATTCGATGACAATTCCATTCAATTCCGTTCAATGATTCCATTAGATTCCATTTGATGATGATGCCATTCGATTCCATTTGATGATGATTCCATGCGTTTCCATTAGATGATGACTCCTTTCATTTCCATTCAATGAGGATTCCATTCGGTTCCATTTGATGAAGATTCCTTTGAATTCCATTTGATGACAATTCAATTCAATACCAATTGATGATGGTTATTTTTGATTCCGTTTTATGATGATTACATTCGATTCCATTTAATCGTGATTCCATTCGATTCCACTCGATCATTTCATTCGATTCCATTCAATGGTGATTCCATTCGAGTTCATTGACTATTCCATTCCATTCCATTCGATGATTCCATTCGAGTAATTTCGATGATTCAATACAATTGCATTCCATAATTCCATTCGATTGCATTCGATAATTCCATTCGATTCCATTTGACGATAATTCCATTTGAGTCCATTCGATGTTTGTTCCATTCGATTCTATTCAGTGACTCCATTCGATTCCATTTGATAATGATTCCATTCGAGACCATTCGATGATTCCATTCAATTCCATGCAATAATGATTCCATTCGAGTCCATTCAATGATTCCATTCAAGTCCATTCGATGATTCCATCTGATTCCATTCAATGAATCCATTCGATTCCATTGTATGATGATTTCATTCATTTCCATCTGATGATGATTCCAATAGTTTGCATTCAATGATTCCATTCGATTCCATTTGATGATGATTTCAATCAATTTCATTCGATGATTCCATTCAAATCCATTCGATGATGAGTCCATCCATTTCAATTCCATGATAATTCCATTCGTTTCCATTCGATGGTGTTTCCATTCGATTCCATTCGATGTTGATTCCATTAGTTTCCATTGGATGATGATTCCATTCGACTCCATTCGATGATGATCACATTGGATTTCATTCCATAATTCTATTCGATTGCATTTGATGATGATTCCATCTGATTCCATTTGATGATCCCATTTGATTCCATTCGATGATGATTCCATTCGTTTCCATCCGATGATGATTCCATTCGATTCCGTTCAATGTTTATTCCATTTGAGTCCATTCGCCGATTCCATTCGATTCCATTTGATGATGATTGCATTCGAGTCCATGGATTATTCCATTCTATTTCATTAGATGATTCCATTCGAGTCCTTTCGATGATTCTCTTGGATTCCATTCTATAATTCCGTTTGATTCCGTGTGATGTTGATTCCATGTGAGTCCATTCGATGATAATTCCATTCGATTCTATGCGATGATTCCATTCCTTTCCATTTGAAGATGATTCCATTCGAGACCATTCGATGATTGCATTCAATTCATTCAATGACGATTCCATTGAATTCCGTTGAATGATTCCATTAGATAACATTTGATGATTCCATTCGATTCCATTTGATGATGATTCCATGCGATTCCATTAGATGATGACCCCTTTCATTTCCATTCGATGATGATTCCATTCCTTTCCATCCGATGATGATTCCATTCGATTCCGTTTTATGATTATTACATTCGAGACCATTCGATGACTCCATTCGATTCTATTCGATGGTGATTGCATTCGAGTCCATGGATTATTGCATTCCATTCCATTAGATGATTCCATTCGATTCCATTCGATGATTCTCTCCGATTCCATTCGATAATTCCGTTTGATTCCGTTTGATGTTGATTCCATTCGAGTCCATTCGATGATAATTCCATTCGATTCTTTGCGATGATTCCATTCCATTCCATTTGGAGATGATTCCATTCGAGACCATTCGTTGATTGCATTCAATTCATTCGATGACGATTCCATTCAATTCCGTTCAATTATTCCATTAGATTCCATTTGATGATGATTCCATTCGGTCCATTCAATGATAATTCCATTCGATTCTATGCGATGATTCCATTCCTTTCCATTTGAAGATGATCACATTCGAGACCATTCGATGATTGCATTCAATTCATTCGAGGACGGTTCCATTCAATTCCCTTCAATGATGCCATTATATTCGATTTGATGATGAGTCCATTCGATGATGATTCCATTCGATTCCATTTGATGATTATTCCATGCGATTCCATTAGATGATGACTCCTTCCATTTCCATTCAAGTAGGATTCCGTTCGGTTCCATTTGATGATGATTCCCTTGAATTCCATTTGATGACAAATCCATTCAATACCAATTGATGATGCTTATTTTTGATTCCATTTGATGATGATTACATTCGATTCCATTTGATCGTGATTCCATTCGATTCCACTCGATGATTCCATTCGATTCCATTCAATGATGATTCCATTCGTGTCCATTGACTATTCCATTCAATTCCATTCGATGATTCCATTCGAGTCCACCCGATGATTCTATTTGATTGCATTCGATAATACCATTCGATTGCATTCGATAATTCCATTCGATACCATTTGATGATAATTCCATTTGAGTCCATTCGATGATTGTTCCATTCGATTCTATTCGGTGATTCCATTCGATTCCATTTGATAATGATTCCATTCGAGACCATTCGATGATTCCATTCAATTCCATTCAATAATGATTCCATTCGAGTCCATTCAATGATTCCATTCAAGTCCATTCGATGATTCCATCTGATTCCATTCAATGAATCCTTTCGATTCCATTC
>NC_000001.11:125173583-125184587 GCF_000001405.40 Homo sapiens
TTCGATGATTCTCTTCGATTCCATTCGATAATTCCGTTTGATTCCGTTTGATGTTGATTCCATTCGAGTCCATTCGATGATAATTCCATTCGATTGTATGCGATGATTCCTTTCCTTTCCATTGGAAGATGATTCCATTCGAGACCATTCGATGATTGCATTCAATTCATTCGTTGAAGATTCCATTCAATTCCGTTCAATGATTCCATCAGATTCCATTTGATGATGATTCCATTCGATTCCATTTGATGATGATTCCATGCGATTCCATTAGATGATGACTCCTTTCAATTTCATTCGATGATGATTCCATTCGATTCGATCCGATGATGATTCCATTCGATTCCGTTCAATGATTATTCCATTCAAGTCCATTCGATGATTCCATTCGATTCTATTCGATGATTATTGTATTCGAGTCCATGGATTCTTCCATTCCATTCCATTAGATGATTCCATTCCAGTCCATTCGATGATTCTCTTCGATTCCATTCGATAATTCCGTTTGATTCCGTTTGATGTTGATTCCATTCGAGTCCATTCGATGATAATTCCATTCGATTCTATGCGATGATTCCATTCCATTCCATTTGGAGGTGGTTCCATTTGAGACCATTCGTTGATTGCATTCAATTCATTCGATGACGATTCCATTCAATTCCGTTCAATGATTCCATTAGATTCCATTTAATGATGATTCCATTCAATTCCATTTGATGATGATTCCATGCGATTCCATTAGATGATGACTCCTTTCATTTCCATTCAATGAGGATTCCATTCGGTTCCATTTGATGATGATTTCAATCAATTTCATTTGATGACAATTCCATTCAATCCATTCGAAGATGAGTCCATCCATTTCAATTTCATGATAATTCCATTCGTTTCAATTCGATGGTGTTTCCATTCGATTCCATTCGATGTTGATTCCATGAATTTCCATTGGATGATGATTCCGTTCGAGTCCATTCGATGATGATCACATTGGATTTCATTCAATAATTCTATTCGATTCCATTGATGATGATTCCATCTGATTCCATTTGATGATTCCATTCGATTCCATTCGATGATGATTCCATTCGCTTCCATCATAAGATGATTCCATTCGATTCGGTTCAATGATTATTCCATTCGAGTCCAATCCATGATTCCATTCGATTCCGTTCGATGATGATTGCGTTCGAGTCCATGGATAATTCCATTCCATTCCATTAGATGATTCCATTCGAGTTCCTTCGACGATTCTCTTCGATTCCATTAGATAATTCCGTTTGATTCCGTTTGATGTTGATTCCATTCGAGTCCATTGGATGATATTTCCATTCAATTCTATGCGATGATTCCATTCCATTCAATTTGAAGATGATTCTATTCGAGACCATTTGATGATTGCATTCAATTCATTCGATGACGATTCCTTTCAATTCCGTTCAATGATTCCATTATATTCCATTTGATGATGATTCCATTCGATTCCATTTGATGATGATTCCATGCGATTCCATTAGATGATGACTCCTTTCATTTCTATTCAATGAGGATGCCTTTCGGTTCCATTAGATGATGATTCCTTTGAATTCCATTTGATGACAATTCCATTCAATACCAATTGATGATGACTATTTTTGATTCCATTTGATGATGATTACATTCGATTCCATTTGATCATGTTTACATTCGATTCCACTCGAGGATTCCATTAGATTACATTCAATGATGATTCCATTCGAGTTCATTGACTATTCCATTCCACTCCATTCGATGATACCATTCGAGTCCATTCGATGATTCTATTCGATTGCATTTGATTATTCCATTCGATTGCATTCGATAATTCCATTCGATTCCATTTGAGGATAATTCCATTTGAGTCCATTCGATGATTGTTCCATTCGATTCTATTCGGTGATTCCATTCGATTCCATTTGATAATGATTCCATTCGAGACCATTCGATGATTCCATTCAATTCCATTCAATAATGATTCCATTCGAGTCCATTCAATGATTCCATTCAAGTCCATTCGATGATTCCATCTGATTCCATTCAATGAATCCATTCGATTCCATCCTATGATGATTCCATTCATTTCCATCTGATGATGATTCCATTCGATTCCATTCAATGATTCCATTCGATTCCATTTGAGGATGATTTCAATCAATTTCATTCGATGATTCCATTCGAATCCATTAGATGATGAGTCCATCCATTTCAATTTCATGATAAATCCATTCGTTTCAATTCGATGGTGTTTCCATTCGATTCCATTCGATGTTGATTCCATTAGTTTCCATTGGTTCATGATTCCATTCAAGTCCATTCGATGATGATCACATTGGATTTCATTCCATAATTCTATTCGATTCCATTTGATGATGATTCCATCTGATTCCTTTTGAGGATCCCATTCGATTCCATTCGATGATGATTCCATTCGTTTCCATCCGATGATGATTCCATTCGATTCCGTTCAATGATTATTCCATTCGAGTCCATTCGATGATTCCATTCGATTCCATTTGATGATTATTCCATGCGATTCCATTAGATGATGACTCCTTTCATTTCCATTCAATGAGGATTCCATTCGGTTCCATTTGATGATGATTCCTTTGAATTCCGTTTGATGACAATTCCATTCGATACCAATTGATGATGGTTATTTTGATTCCATTTGATGATTATTACTTTCGATTCCATTTGATCATGATTCCATTCGATTCCACTCGATGATTCCATTCAATGATGATTCAAATCGAGTTCATTTACTATTCCATTCCATTTCAATCGATGATTCCTTTCAAATCCATTCGATGATTCTGTTCGATTGCATTCGATAATTCCATTCGATTCCATTTGAGGACAATTCCATTTGAGTCCATTCGATGATTGTTCCATTCGATGCTATTCGGTGATTCCATTCGATTCCATTTGATAATGATTCCTTTCGAGACCATTCGATGATTCCATTCAATTCCATTCAATAATGATTCCATTCGAGTCCATTCAATGATTCCATTCAAGTCCATTCAATGATTCCATCTGATTCCATTCAATGAATCCATTGGATTCCATTCTATGATGATTCCATTCATTTCCATCTGATGATGATTCCATTTCATTCCATTCAATGATTCCATTCATTTCCATCTGATGATGATTTCATTCGATTCCATTCAATGATTCCTTTCGATTCCATTGGATGATGATTTCAATCAATTTCATTCGATGATTCCATTCGAATCCATTCGATGATGAGCCCATCCATTTCAATTTCATGATAAATCCATTCGTTTCAATTCGATGGTGTTTCCATTCGATTCCATTCGATGTTGATTCCATTAGGTTCCATTGAATGATGATTCCATTCGAGTCCATTCGATGATGATCACAATGGATTTCATTCCATAATTCTATTCGATTCCATTTGATGATGATTCCATCTGATTCCATTTGATGATTCCATTCGTTTCCATCCGATGATGATTCCATTCGATTCCGTTCAATGATTATTCCATTCGAGTCCATTCGATTATTCCATTCGATTCCATTCGATGATGATTGCATTCGAGTCCATGGATTCTTCCATTCCATTCCATTACATGATTCCATTCGAGTCCATTCGATGATTCTCTTCGATTCCATACGATAATTCCGTTTGATTCCGTTTGAGGTTGATTCCATTCGAGTCCATTCGATGATAATTCCATTCGATTCTATGCGATGATTCCATTCCATTCCATTTGGAGGTGGTTCCATTCGAGACCATTCGTTGATTGCATTCAATTCATTCGATGTCCATTCCATTCAATTCCGTTCAATGATTCCATTAGATTCCATTTGATGATGATTCCATTCGATTCCATTTGATGATGATTCCATGCGATTCCATTAGATGATGACTCCTTTCATTTCCATTCAATGAGGATTCCATTCGATTCCACTCGATGATTCCATTCAATGATGATTCCATTCGAGTTTATTGACTATTCCATTCCATTTCAATCGATGATTCCATTCAAGTCCGTCCGATGATTCTATTTGATTGCATTCAATTATTCCATTCGATTGCATTCGATAATTCCATTCGATTCCATTGGAGGATAATTCCATTTGAGTCCATTCGATGATTGTTCCATTCGATTCTATTCGGTGATTCCATTCGATTCCATTTGATAATGATTCCATTCGAGTCCATTCAATGATTCCATTCAAGTCCATTCGATGATTCCATCTGATTCCATTCAATGAATCCATTCGATTCCATTCTATGATGATTCCATTCATTTCCATCTGATGATGATTCCATTCGATTCCATTCAATGACTCCATTCGATTCCATTTGATGATGATTTCAATCAATTTCATTCGATGATTCCATTCGAATCCATTCGATGATGAGTCCATCCCTTTCAATTTCATGATAATTCCATTCGTTTCAATTCGATGGTGGTTCCATTCGATTCCATTCGATGTTGATTCCATTAGTTTCCATTGGATGATGATTCCATTCGAGTCCATTCAATGATGATCACATTGGATTTCATTCCATAATTCTATTCGATTCCATTTGATGATGATTCCATCTAATTCCATTTGATGATCCCATTCGATTCCATTCGATGATGATTCCATTCGTTTCCATCCGATGATGATTCCATTCGATTCCGTTCAATGATTATTCCATTCGAGTCCATTCGATGATTCCATTCGATTCCATTCGATGATGATTGCATTCGAGTCCATGGATTCTTCCATTCCATTCCATTAGATGATTCCATTCGAGTCCGTTCGATGATTCTCTTCGATTCCATTCGATAATTCCGTTTGATTCCGTTTGATATTGATTCCATTCGAGTCCATTCGATGATAATTCCATTCGATTCTATGCGATGATTCCATTCCATTCCATTTGGAGGTGGTTCCATTCGAGACCATTCGTTGATTGCATTCAATTCATTCGATGACGATTCCATTCAATTCCGCTCAATGATTCCATTAGATTCCATTTGATGATGATTCCATTCGATTCCATTTGATGATGATTCCATGCGATTCCATTAGACGATGACTCGTTTCATTTCCATTCAATGAGGATTCCATTCGGTTCCATTTGATGATGATTCCTTTGAATTCCGTTTGATGACAATTCCATTCGATACCAATTGATGATGTTTATTTTTGATTCCATTTGATGATGATTACTTTCGATTCCATTTGATCATGATTCCATTCGATTCCACTCGATGATTCCATTCGATTCCATTCAATGATGATTCCATTCGAGTTCATTGACTGTTCCATTCCATTCCATTCGATGATTCCATTCGAGTCCATTCGATGATTCTATTCGATTGCATTCGATAATTCCATTCGATTGCATTCGATAATTCCATTCGATTCCATTGGAGGATAATTCCATTTGAGTCCATTCGATGATTGTTCCATTCGATTCTATTCGGTGATTCCATTCGATTCCATTTGATAATGATTCCAATCGAGACCATTCGATGATTCCATTCAATTCCATTCAATAATGATCCCTTTCGAGTCCATTCAATGATTCCATTCCAGTCCATTCGATGATTCCATCTGATTCCATTCAATGAATCCATTCGATTCCATTCTATGACGATTCCATTCATTTCCATCTGATGATGATTCCATTCGATTCCATTCAATGATACCATTCGATTCCATTCGATGATGATTTCAATCAATTTTATTCGATGATTCCATTCGAATCCATTCGATGATGAGTCCATCCATTTCAATTTCATGGTAATTCCATTCGTTTCAATTCGATGGTGTTTCCATTTGATTCATTCGATGTTGATTCCATTAGCTTCCGTTGGATGATGATTCCATTCGGGTCCATTCGATGATGATCATTCTGGATTTCATTCCATAATCTATTCGATTCCATTCGATGATGATTCCATTCATTTCCACCCGATGATGATTCCATTCGATTCCGTTCAATGATTATTCCATTCGAGTCCATTCGATGATTCCATTCGATTCCATTCGATGATGATTGCATTCGAGTCCATGGATTATTCCATTCCATTCCATTAGATGATTCCATTCGGGTCCATTCGATGATTCTCTTCGATTCCATTCGATAATTCCGTTTTTTTCCGTTTGATGTTGATTCCATTCGATTCCATTCGATGATAATTCCATTCGATTCTATGCGATGATTCCATTCCATTCCATTTGAAGATGATTCCATTCGAGACCATTCGATGATTGCATTCAATTCATTCGATGACGATTCCATTCAATTCCGTTCAATGATTCCATTTGATTCCATTTGATGTTGATTCCATTCGATTCCATTTTATGATGATTCCATGAAATTCCATTAGATGATGACTCCTTTCATTTCCATTCGATGATGATTCCATTCGTTTCCATCCGATGATGATTCCATTCGATTCCGTTCAATGATTATTCCATTCGAGTCCATTCGATGATTCCATTCGATTCCATTCGATGATGATTGCATTCGAGTCCATGGATTATTCCATTCCATTCCATTAGATGATTCCATTCGGGTCCGTTCGAAGATTCTCTTCGATTCCATTCGATAATTCCGTTTTTTTCCGTTTGGTGTTGATACCATTCGATTCCATTCGATGATAATTCCATTCGATTCTATGCGATGATTCCATTCCTTTCCATTAGAAGATGATTCCATTCGAGACCATTCGATGATTGCATTCAATTCATTCGATGACGATTCCATTCAATTCTGTTCAATGATTCCATTAGATTCCATTTGATGATGATTCCATTCGATTCCATTTGATGATGATTCCATGCGATTCCATTAGATGATGACCCCTTTCATTTCCATTCAATGAGGATTCCATTCGGTTCCATTTGATGATGTTTCCTTTGAATTCCATTTGATGACAATTCCATTCAATACCAATTGATGATGGTTATTTTTGATTCCATTTGATGATGATTACATTCGATTCCATTTGATCATAATTCCATTCGATTCCACTCGATGATTCCATTCGATTCCATTCAATGATGATTCCATTCGAGTTCATTGACTGTTCCATTCCATTCCATTCGATGATTCCATTCGAGTCCATTCGATGATTCTATTCGATTGCATTCGATAATTCCATTCGATTGCATTCGATAATTCAATTCGATTCCATTGGAGGATAATTCCATTTGAGTCCATTCGATGATTGTTCCATTCGATTCTATTCGGTGATTCCATTCGATTCCATTTGATAATGATTCCAATCGAGACCATTCGATGATTCCATTCAATTCCATTCAATAATGATTCCATTCGAGTCCCATTCAATGATTCCATTCAAGTCCATTCGATGATTCCATCTGATTCCATTCAATGAATCCATTCGATTCCATTCTATGATGATTCCATTCATTTCCATCTGATGATGATTCCATTCGATTCCATTCAATGATTCCATTCGATTCCGTTTGATGATGATTTCAATCAATTTCATTCGATGATTCCATTCGAATCCATTCGATGATGAGTCCATCCATTTCAATTTCATGAAAAATCCATTCGTTTCAATACGATGGTGTTTCCATTCGATTCCATTCGATGTTGATTCCATTAGTTTCCATTGGATGATGATTCCATTCGAGTCCATTCGATGATGATCACAATGGATTTCATTCCATCATTCTATTCGATTCCATTTGATGATGATTCCGTCTGATTCCATTTGATGATTCCATTCGTTTCCATCCGATGATGATTCCATTCGATTCGGTTCAATGATTATTCCATTCGAGTCCATTCGATGATTCCATTCGATTCCATTCGATGATGATTGCATTCGAGTCCATGGATTCTTCCATTCCATTCCATTAGATGATTCCATTCGAGTCCGTTCGATGATTCTCTTCGATTCCATTCGATAATTCCGTTTGATTCCGTTTGATGTTGATTCCATTCGAGTCCATTCGATGATAATTCCATTCGATTCTATGCGATGATTCCATTCCATTCCATTTGGAGATGGTTCCATTCGAGACCATTCGTTGATTGCATTCAATTCATTCGATGACGATTCCATTCAATTCCGTTCAATGATTCCATTAGATTCCATTTGATGATGATTCCATTCGATTCCATTTGATGATGATTCCATGCGATTCCATTAGATGATGACTCCTTTCATTTCCATTCAATGAGGATTCCATTCGGTTCCATTTGATGATGATTCCTTTGAATTCCATTTGATGACAATTCCATTCAATACCAATTGATGATGGTTATTTTTGATTCCATTTGATGATGATTACATTCGATTCCATTTGATCATGATTCCATTCGATTCCACTCGATGATTCCATTCAATCATGATTCCATTCGAGTTCATTGACTGTTCCATTCCATTCCATTCGATGATTCCATTCGATTCCATTCGATGATTCTATTCGATTGCATTCGATAATTCCATGCGATTGCATTCGATAATTCCATTCGATTCCATTGGAGGATAATTCCATTTGAGTCCATTCGATGATTGTTCCATTCGATTCTATTCGGTGATTCCATTCGATTCCATTTGATAATGATTCCAATCGAGACCATTCGATGATTCCATTCAATTCCATTCAATAATGATCCCTTTCGAGTCCATTCAATGATTCCATTCCAGTCCATTCGATGATTCCATCTGATTCCATTCAATGAATCCATTCGATTCCATTCTATGACGATTCCATTCATTTCCATCTGATGATGATTCCATTCGATTCCATTCAATGATACCATTCGATTCCATTCGATGATGATTTCAATCAATTTTATTCGATGATTCCATTCGAATCCATTCGATGATGAGTCCATCCATTTCAATTTCATGATAATTCCATTCGTTTCAATTCGATGGTGTTTCCATTCGATTCATTCGATGTTGATTCCATTAGCTTCCGTTGGATGATGATTCCATTCGGGTCCATTCGATGATGATCACACTGGATTTCATTCCATAATTCTATTCGATTCCATTCGATGATGATTCCATTCATTTCCATCCGATGATGATTCCATTCGATTCCGTTCAATGATTATTCCATTCGAGTCCATTCGATGATTCCATTCGATTCCATTCGATGATGATTGCATTCGAGTCCATGGATTCTTCCATTCCATTCCATTAGATGATTCCATTCAAGTCCGTTCAATGATTCTCTTCGATTCCATTCGATAATTCCGTTTTTTTCCGTTTGATGTTGATTCCATTCGATTCCATTCGATGATAATTCCATTCGATTCTATGCGATGATTCCATTCCATTCCATTTGAAGGTGATTCCATTCGAGACCATTCGATGATTGCATTCAATTCATTCGATGACGATTCCATTCAATTCCGTTCAATGATTCCATTTGATTCCATTTGATGTTGATTCCATTCGATTCCATTTTATGATGATTCCATGCAATTCCATTAGATGATGACTCCTTTCATTTCCATTCGATGATGATTCCATTCGTTTCCATCCGATGATGATTCCATTCGATTCCGTTCAATGATTATTTCATTCGAGTCCATTCGATGATTCCATTCGATTCCATTCGATGATGATTGCATTCGAGTCCATGGATTATTCCATTCCATTCCATTAGATGATTCCATTCGAGTCCATCGATGATTCTCTCGATGCCATCGATATCGTTGATCCGTTTGATGTGATGCATCGAGTCCATTCGATGATAATTGCATTCCATTCTATGTGATGATTCCATTCCATTCCATTTGGAGGTGGTTCCATTCGAGACCATTCGTTGATTGCATTCAATTCATTCGATGACGATTCCATTCCATTCCGTTCAATGATTCCATTAGATTCCATTTGATGATGATTCCATTCGATTCCATTTGATGATGATTCCATGCGATTCCATTAGATGATGACTCCTTTCATTTCCATTCAATGAGGATTCCATTCGGTTCCATTTGA
This sequence comes from Homo sapiens, assembly GCF_000001405.40. Lineage (NCBI taxonomy): Eukaryota > Metazoa > Chordata > Mammalia > Primates > Hominidae > Homo > Homo sapiens. The sequence goes on from NC_000001.11 coordinate 125,183,573, forward strand.
TGATGATTCCTTTGAATTCCATTTGATGACAATTCCATTCAATACCAATTGATGATGGTTATTTTTGATTCCATTTGATGATGATTACATTCGATTCCATTTGATCATGATTCCATTCGATTCCACTCGATGATTCCATTCGATTCCATTCAATGATTATTCCATTTGAGTCGATTCGATGACTCCATTCGATTGTATTCGATGGTGATTGAATTCGAGTCCATGGATTAATCCATTGCATTCCATTCGATGATTCCATTCGAGTCCATTCGATGATTCTATTCGATTGCATTCGATAATTCCATTCGATTGCATTCAATAAATCCATTTGATTCCATTTGAGGATAATTCCATTTGAGTCCATTCGATGATGGTTCCATTCGATTCTATTCGGTGATTCCATTCGACTTCATTTGATAATTATTCCATTCGAGACCATTCGATGATTCTATTCAATTCCATTCAATAATGATTCCATTCGAGTCCATTCAACGATTCCATTCAAGTCCATTCGATGATTCCATCTGATTCCATTGAATGAATCCATGAGATTACATTCTATGATCATTCCATGCATTTCCATCTGATGATGATTCCATTCGATTCCATTCAATGATTCCTTTCGATTCCATTTGATGATGATTTCAATCAATTTCATTCGATGATTCCATTCGATTCCATTCGATGTTGATCCATTAGTTTCCATTGGATGATGATTCCATTCGAGTCCATTCAATGATGATTATATTGGATTTCATTCCATAATTCTATTCGATTCCATTTGATAATGATTCCATCTGATTCCATTTGATGATCCCATTCGATTCCATTCGATGATGATTCCATTCGTTTCCATCCGATGATGACTCCATTCGATTCCGTTCAATGATTATTCCATTCGAGTCCATTCGATGATTCCATTCGATTCCATTCGATGATGATTGCATTCGAGTCCATGGATTCTTCCATTCCATTCCATTAGATGATTCCATTCGAGTCCGTTCGATGATTCTCT